>NC_000002.12:229004769-229307799 GCF_000001405.40 Homo sapiens
GGGAAAAATGGAAAGTATCCAGCCCATTTAGTGAGACGGGTTACACCATGTCTTCCCCAAATGTATGTTTAAGTCTTAACCCCTGGTACTTCAGAATGTGTCCTTATGTGGAATAGGGTTGTTGCAGATTTAATTAGTTAAGATGAAGTCATATTGAAATAGAAGGAGCCCCCAATCCAATAAGACCTGTGTCCTTATTATATAAAGAAGAAATTTGGAAAGAGACACACACAGAGGGGGAATGCCATGGAAGGACTGGAGTAATGTTGCCACAAGTCAAAAAACAACACGGATTGCCAGCAAACCAGCAGAAGCTAGGAGGAAGGCATGGATTCACCTTCACAACCCGCCAACGCCCCCCCCCAAAAAAACCCTTCCAGCATCTTGATTTAGGACATCTAGCCCCCAGAATTGTAAATGAATTCCTGTTGTGTGAGCCACCCAATTTGTAGTTCTTTGTTATGGCATCCCTATCAAAATAATATACAAAGTCATCACAGCATTTTTCATAATAATGAGAGATTGGAAATAGTGTGTCTATCTACCTATGTCTTTATCTACCTTCTGAGTTCTATACAGTATTTACGCAGGTGGGGAACAGGAGAGCCAGGGTTTGTGAAGCTTAAGCCTGTGCAATTTTAGGCGGTCAGTTGAATTTAAAGGAACACAGAAATTTCATGGTTTTGCAAAGTTTACAAAAACTCATGACACAGTGAACACATTGTTAGGCCTGCCCAATGGCCATGTGCAAGGAAGGGCCCTAAAGCTTAAGCCTCATTATCTCCTGTATACAGTTCCTATAAATAGTAAATAAAATAAATAAATAATGATACAACATAAAACTTAATGACAGAACTAAGACGCAACAGTTTTCTTATACACATGAATTTAAATAGCTATGCTTTCATGTTAAAATAGACCTTTATATTGGATAATAAAATTAAAAATGCATATAAAAAAAAATAAGTAAAAGAAGACAAAATTTAGAAGGCCTGCCAGGTTGGACAACTGAGTTAGCTAGCTTTGCCATATCCCCATCTCCCTAACCATAAAAACCACCCCATGGGAACAAACACAACTTGACATTTTTCATTTCTCTGAAGTGAGTGCCCATCATTTTCTCATTTTTACGACTGCATTTTATTAATTTGCAAATGAAAACAAGGAAACATTAAAAGATTGGCTCAGCCATTAGCCATCCCAATATAGTTGAGGTTTGGTCCTCCTAATTGAAACCAAGATTTCGGTTTCCTGGAAAATGTCAGAAAGACTGTTCATTTCTCAGGGCCTGTTATCTGACCATCATGAGGAGGAGCTGGAAATCTGTCAGATCAGATAGTTTCATTTTTGAGTACTGATGTCCTATGGACATCATCAGCCTCAGTCAGCCACACAGAGCTCAGAAGCTGACCCCAGCCAGAGAATAGGTGTTTGTTTTCTATGATTGTTTATGATTTATATGATTGTTTATAATTTTCCTATCTTGTAAGCTTGTATCTTTTCCTATTCTTTTTAAAATTGTATATACTCCTAAGAAATGAAATTTTATTTGTATTTAAATGCCTTGATTCGATGTGACATTGGTTTTCTTTCCAAATGAGCTAAACATTACCCAGGAGGGGTGTAGGAATGGGGTTGTAAGGATGACGTAGGAAAAAGTATTATTTAAAACAAACCTTTACTCTTGAAACATGTAAATCCATTATGTAGAATAAGATCTTCAATTGAGCATCCAAAAAAAAAAAAAAACAACTCTGGTCATGCTAAACCACTAGGGATTGTCATTTACATGGTAGTTCATTCAGAATTAATGAAGTCAATATGACACTACGTCTCAAGACTAATTCATCTTGAGTATTCTATATGCTAGAGCTCCTGTGCTATATGAAGCATTCAAATTTTAGCATTTGTCAAAATCACCTTCTTATAGCACAGATTGGTCTGCCCCATCTCCACATTTTCCGAGTCAGTAGGTTTAAGGAGAGGCCCAGAAATCTGTGTTTCTAACAACTTGCCAAATGGTGATGCTGCTGCTGATCTAGGTACCACACTTTGAGAACCACTGTTATAGTCATTTTGTTGGGTTCAGGCTACCAGAGTTATATTTGGATGGGAGACAAGATACTGGATACCCAAAGGGTGGGCCACATAGATCTGAGGATATGGGAAGATAATCAGTTGATTTAAAGATGTGTGAACATTCTAAATCATTGTGAAGGGTTTATGGAAAGTGAAAATTCACAAATGAAGCTTGGAAAGACAGAGACGAATGTAAAATCTGTTGAAAGGAATGGTATGAAGAGTCTAGAGTGTCTCTGGAAACTCGGCTATTTCCGTTCTAGCACTCATCAAAAATTTTTTACACGTTTTTGTAAGATTATTTGATTAACTTGACCCTTTATTACGTTCCCCCATGAAGAAATGAAGAGTAACTTCTTACTCATGATAGAGTGCCTGTCACAGAGTTGGATAAAGAAGTGAGTCTCCAGATATTTGATGAATTAATGAAGTAGTGAAAAATGCATGAATGAACACATGAATAGCTGTAGCAAATGTGGGGGAGGGTGCTGTAGCCAGAGGCTGGAAAAGACTACATGAAGATGAGCTCTTAGTAGATGACTGCACAGTAAAAACCATCTTCTTGACCACGAGGGCTGTTAGGCTGCAGGTTTGAAAAAGGGCTTGTGGTATATTCTGTCCTTAGGGATAAAGAGGGGTGGGCATGGGGGTGATGTAAGAACCAGAATTGATGCCCAGATCTTGGAGGAGGATGTGAAGGTGCCTAGGTCTGTCTGAAGCTATGGATAGGGCTCTCACATTGTGGGTACCAGTCTTGTCCAGAGAGTCACAGTGGACTCTGGAGCTTCAGAAATTCAGAGGACAAAAGAAGACTGATCTCATAATTGGCTAGGTTTCCCTAGTTTGCCTGAATTCATGTGACGAAAAAGAAAAATATAGGAGAAAAAAAGATAAAAGAAAATGAAAGTGGGTAGAAGACAATACCTTTTTTCTGAAATTCCTGAAACAATATTTTAAGGATGAAAATAAAATTGAGCTCCATTTTTAAGGGTTTAGGGAATGTCTCTCTTGACCAAATGGCTTTTGTTTTGTTCTGTTTCATTTTGTTTTTTAATATAATGGACTTCATTCCACTATTTTGCTTGTTATCAGAATAATATGTGGAGATTCTTCAAAAATTTTTTCCAATTCCTGTCTCACATAGATGAAAGTTTCCAGGTGGTATTCTTTCTTTCTTTTTTTTTCCTTTCTTTACATTCACTACTAGGACACCAAGAACCACATCTAGGAAAGTGTTCCAAAGACTTTTGATATTGACCCCATCCATCGACTTTCCTTCCCCCTTATTTATTCATAAGTTGTGTATGTGGTATAGTGTGTACATCAGTAAATTACTCCTAATCCTTTTGGAAAATGAGTAGTATATAAACAAAAATATAAAAGGCAAAGTCCACTTTGCACAGACAGTTGTCTGTAAATTAAGTCTGTATGGACTCTGGAGACAGAATGCATGTATTCAAGTCTGAGCCCTACTGCGTAGGATCTGTGAGACCTTGTGTATGACTTTTAAGTTTTCTATAGGTCAGTTTTCCCATCTGTGAAATGGGAATAAATACTAGTCTTTCCCATAAGGTCACTGTGAGGATTAAATTAGTTGCTCTATGCGTGTCTAGCGTATAGTAAGTGCTATATTTACGCTACTGATTATTAATGCTGAACTTTCATATCACACTGAGTGGGTTTAGATATGATGTCCAAGGCATCGTGCAGTATGAGAAGAGCAGAGGGTTTGTTGATAATAACAAAAAATCTACAATTCAAAGGGATTTTTAGACATTATCTAGCACAGCCCTGTTCTTTCACATCTGGGAAATAAAAGCCTGAGGTCCCTGAAGGTTAAGTGGTTTTCCCAGGTCACCTGCTCCTAGGTAGCAAGGCATATGAGTGAGGGGCTCCAGGTATATAAGCAGCAGACTTGCTGTAGGAAAAGCAGGCAAGTACCTTGATAGAAAGAGGGCTGGATTCCAGACCTGATACTGGTGTGTGGACAGGGTCAGGTCTGGAATCCAGCACTCGGTGACTGTGGGCAAGTCACTGCCCTGCTCCAGGTCTCCATCTTGGGGAAAAAAGCATTAAACAATTTTCTAAGGCTTTTCCCAGTTCTTTCAATTTATAATTCTAGTCATTACTGTTCTCTTTGGGCACATGCCTAGAACTGAACTGGAAACATTTGCAATATGATAGAAACAGAGCTTCATAAAGTCAGAATAGAAGATTTAACATTTCCTACATCCAGACCTTCATCTTCCTTGGAACTCTTGCCCAATCTTTCCAATACAGAAGTTTCTTTGAAGTCCTTCTGATTGGGTTGATTAAGGAATCAGTTGCTCTAATTCCCCCCCACCTACTTTGATCTCCACACAGCCCAGATAGTTTCAAACAGATGAAATTGCTATTCCTCAGTCCCCAGCCATGCTTGAAGGCAGCCAGCAAAGCATGCCAACCACCAGCTGAACCACTCACTGCTGCTTAGTAAAACTAGTGGTGAACTTCAGGATGGTGGTCTGTGGCCACAGTCATCACTACTATAAAGCCAAGTCATTGATTCTTTCAGAACATATTTATGGGTCCCTTCTAAGTGGCAGGCATTGAGTTAGACACTTAGGGAACTTAAAATCTAGCAGGGAATGGACAACCATTATTCAAAAAGTCATGCCAATAAGAACACAATTATAACTGTGATAAGTGCATAGAAAATGCTCACAGCAACATGCTAGTAGTGTATAGTGAGGGCTTTTTGATCCCTCCTCTAGAGGCTAAAGCAGTATTGCTTATGTCGTAGGGGTTGGGTTTAAGACTGGGGAACTGGGGCCAGGAAGTTGGAACTGCTCCAGGCAGAGGGGACAACATGTGTGAAGGCCATTGGTGTGAGTATATGAGGAACTAGGAGGTGACCAGGACACTGAAGCACAGAGAATGACATGGACATTGAGTCAAGCTCATCACAGGTTTACTTAAGGATAACTCTAAGAAACAGAGTTTTTTCAGTCTTATTAAACCTCAAGACTCCCCCTATCCCTCTTCCAGCATTTTATCCAGCACATGGAAACAGGCACATGGTCTTGGTTCAGTTCCTCTTGCTTTGAAATGTATGAAGTCATAGCCAGAAAATATAACCAAATCCTATTCATAATGACTCTTTCCAAATGTTCTTCCATTTTCTACTAAAAAACTACTTTGTTGACGCAATTACTATCATCATTAACCTAAGATAACATAATCATACTGACATGCATTTCCACAAATTGTTTTTTTCCAGATGGTATATTTTCCAGTAGAAATGGCTTTGTATATTGCCTGCTGTTAGTGAATATCTCATACCATATTGTGTCTTCTGGAAAGAATTTTCACCAGGGAAACCAATATTGTGTTTCTATTTTTTTTCAAAAATCAGAGAGCAACAGAAGTTTTAAATGAAGCTTTTATGCATAATTTGCATATATACAATGTTCATATATAATTTTCATATATTTATTATATATACATATGAAAAGCATTCCATATTCATTAGCAAATGAGGAGAACTTTGGAAGCAACAATCATTCCCTAATCACAACAGCATGAGAAGGTCACTGTCAACATGAGATATATTAGGACTAACACTTCCTTTTCTCTCTGTTATAAATGTGTTTTCTTAGATGATGAAATGAAGTTACAGGAGAGAATGCCAAAAAATAAAACCAGAATTGTTATATCTCCCCCTGGAATAACAATCTGATTGTAAATTGTAACATCTTCTTTCAAAGTTGGGAAACCAAAGATAAAATAATAAAGCAAAGATAATACAAAAGAACATAAGTGCACTCTCAGGATGATTTTCACAAAAATACTGATATTAAACAGACGTAATGGGTCCTGAGTTTTAAAATCTGAACAATAATTATAATACAATGACCTACATTTTTACTGATGTTCTGAAAATTAGTGTTATACCATTTATTAAAGTCAATGGTACATTTGATTAAATGGTAGTGCATGAAATAACACATTTGTAATAATGAAAGGGCTCGGGAAACCATCAAAGATCCAATTGTCTCATTTGACTATGCTCAGTATCGTTTCAGTACTTTATTTTGTTTTTATATGTTCCAATTATTTGAAGAGTGTCCCTAGACAGGGTGTATGTTATCTCTGTAACCCTGGAGTTATTGATTCATGATGGCTTCTGTATTTCCAGTCTTAAAGTCGCTGGATAAGAAATTAACATGTTAGGAAAAAATAAAAAGAATAATGTGTCTAAGACACTCACACTCCCAGTAATTTAGAGATCATCTCTTGTTTTATCATAGAAGGTGCCCCCCATGCAAAGAATTGGGAGGAGTGTCTTGAGTCTCAGTCTAGCTTTGTGTAAAATAGGAGAAGTCAATCTCTCTGGGTCTCAATATTGATATCTGAAAAATGTTTTAATAACACCTGCTGTTTAAATAAATAATACGTTAAAATGCCCAGTCATAACCTGACTTGTTAGTTCTTCTCTTCCTTATTGGAGGAAAGAAATCCTTGAAGCGGGCTCCCAACTGTAACTTATTTTACCAATAAGAAAGGTGCTGGCCTGACAACAGTGGCTTAGAAGAGAGACTGCAGAAACATTTTTATGACTTACCTGAGCTAAGCGTGCCTTGCGCCAGCCACCAGCCAAGGGCCTTCACTCACCTGAAAGGCTGGAAAAGATGTCAAACTAAGGATTCAGCCAGCCTCAATAGGGTGGTGACATTTAGCAAAAGAATTAACATCTCTACACTTAATTGTCTCCAACTATAAAATAAGGATAACGATAGTTCTCTCTGTATATGGTTTTTGTGAAGTATAAAATTAGGGAATGACAGTAAAAAGCTGAAAGTGTGATACATGGTAAGTACTCAATAAATGCTCACTTCTCTTTTTATCTCATTCAAATCTTACATGACTTAGGCTCAGCATTTAGATTGTGACGTGCACAGAGGAAAAGAAGGACTGAAATGTATTTTCTGATTCGACACTGGGTGCCCAGGAAGGCATCAGAAAGAATCGTTGGAATGGTCCATGGGAAATTTCACATTTTGACTTCCTGGGAAGGGGCTCTGATGGGAATGAGCCACCCTGGGGTATATCTTGCAGCACAAGCGCTGGGGGTGAAACATTCTTTGTGGCTGGCTCACCAACAGCTGGCCAGGGAGGAGGCACTATGTCCTCTAAATTCGAGCTGAACCTCAATCTGCTGGAAAAGTTTGAGGCCCAACCTAGAAGTCCAAAATGCCATGTGAAAAAAGCTAATCAGGGTGGGAGCAGCTCTGGGATGTCTGTGGGACATGTAAGCACATCACATGCTTTCGGATCAAGTGCCCTGAGCTCAGACTTAGCTCTGTTTCTGAGTCATGGTGGGCTTCCATCAACTTCCTAAGGCTTTTGCAACATCAACCCTTTACCCATAATGAGTGAATGATAATTCCTACTGTCATAAGGTTCTGTCATCTTAAATGAGATGATGTATTTAGGGTGTCACTACCTTGTATATATGCTCAAAACTATTAGCTCTTATTATTTTGATTCCCTCGAAACTCTCTTCTCTCTTTAATCCTCATCCCCAGCCCCTACCCATGCGGGAGCCTAATGGACCAGCTAGTACATAGTGTTGAGCCTGAATGAAATGACTTGTTATTCACCATCTTGTGTCTAATTTTCTCTCCAAGAACAGGGGGACCTACAGAAGTATTTTCTTGATTTCTTTTTCTAGTATATTCTGAGTTTATAAAGAAAGCCTGGAACATATTACTCCAAATCCCATGTCCTAAATGCTTAAATAACTCCTGAAATAGTCTCCATTGGATACTCGATATATTACGGTGTCAGTTGGATTTGCCTAGAAACAGAGAGACAAATTTTAGCACTACCAAAATTATTAGGTTGAAAGGAATTGCAGAACTCATTATTTTTTCAGAGAAAAGGAGAAATAAAAAGTTTTCCACGTCCTCTGACAGGAGCCCATTTTGGCAAAAAAAAAAAAAAAAGGCAATTTAAAAAGAGGAATCTTTAATCATAATGTAACAAAGTTTGACCTTTAGAAAAAGAAATTAAATAATCGGTCTGGAAAATAATTTTTAGTAATAAATTCTCCCAGCTGCACAGAAGTTCTTTGGTTGCGGGCCAATTGAATGCTGGTATGGGCTTATCTTAAACAAAGTGGCATTGAAGTAGCTTTTTAAATGCTGGCAAAAGATGCTCCTCCACAGTGAGGCAGAGGAATAGGATTCCTCAGTGTGTTGCAGAGGGAGACGTAAACACATGACCTGGGTCTGCAAACGCAGCAATGCACCACAGTCCTGGCATTATTGGCAAATCCCAGATTCTGGCTTTCAAAGCCTTCTCCTCTTTGTGATGTGGAGATTTTAGCTGGATCATCACGCTGAGATGCCTAAAAAACACCAATTCCCAAAGGAAACAAGGGACACCACGAGAGGGACTGTGGCATTGGCTTAGACCAGAGTTGGCCCCGTCTGGGAAACTTGACCTCAAAAGAGTTGGCTAATGTCATTACACAGAGAAAGGGGCCATCCTGCCGACTTGAAACCGTCTTATTTCCTTCATCCTCAAACTGCTTCCCCCTCACAACCTCATTTTCCTCAGCAGACAACCCAAGCCAGTGGTTGGCAGACACCAATGCAGTAAAAGGAAGCAGCTATGATGGAGAAATGAAAGACGACAAAGGGCAAGTTCAGGGGAATTTCATCTTCTTGTAATGTGGGTGTATTTAGATCCATGCTAATTTTATTTCACGAAATACTTTTTGAAAATTAAGTAATAATAGGCTTCAGAGAAATGGTCTGCTCTGTCCTTCATAACCCAACCACAACCCTGACTGGCCAGGAGAAACCAAGCCCAGACACTGAGGGCTCCCCAAAGTCGAGGAGTGGGGATTTGGGAATCAAACAACCTGGAGAGAAGCCTGCGGTGCCCCTCTAAGCTGTGAGACCTGAAGCAAGACTCAGCATTAATATCTGCCTTGTTGTGATGGGGTGAATTGTGTTCCCAGCCACCGGGATTCATATGATGAAGCCTCAGCCTCAGTATCTCAGAATGCGGCCTTATTTGGGAATAGTGTCATTGCAGATATAATTAGTTAAGATCAAATCCTAACCCAATATGACTGGTGTCCTTATAAAACAGGAAAATTTGGAGACAGACAGACAGACGCAGACACAGACACTCAAACAGAGGAGAACATGATGTGAAGATGAAACCAGAGACTGGAGTGATGCGGCAGAAGCCAAATGCAATCAAAGGCGGCCAGCATGCGCCGGAAGCTGGGACACAGGCAGGGAACAAGTTCTCCCTCACAGACTCAGAAAGAATCAACTTTGCCAGCACCTTGATCTCAGCCTTCTGGTCCTTAGAACTGGAAGACAATACATTTCTGTTCTTTATTTTTATTTTCTTATCTTTCATTTATTTATATTTTGAGATAGAGTCTTGCTGTGTTGCCCAGGCTGGAGTGCAGTGGCACAATCGCAGCTCACCGCAACCTCCGCCTCCCGGTTCAAGCGATCTTCCCACCTGTTTCTCAAGCAGCTGGGACCACAGGCATGCACCACCACGTCTGGCTAATTCATTTCTGTTTTTTAAGCCACACATTTAATGGTACTTCGGTACAGCAGCGCCAGAAAACTAATACACTTACATACTCGCAGGATTTGTTCATGTTCAACACTTTACTGACTAAACAAGCATTTACGAGTCCCTCTTAAGTGTCAGCCACCGGGATGGGTTTCTGTGAAGGAGGGAGGATCAGGCTGTGGTTCTCACCCTCTTGGGCTATGCAGCTCAATACAATAGCCGCTAGTCATATGTGGCTCCAGAGCATTTGTGCTCTACAGTATAAAATATATCCTCAATTTCACACAATACAACAAGAATAAAATATCACATAAATAAATTGTATATTGATCATGTGTTGAATGGCAACTTTTTTAACATATTGGGTTAAAGTCTGCTATTGAGATGAACTTCATCTATTTCTTTTTACGTTTTTAATCAGGCTGCTAGAAATTACACACGTGGTTGGCAACATAGAGATATTGGACAGCATTGCCCTGGGAGCTCTCGGACTAGGAATGAGAGCTTTACATGAAGGTGGTGGTGGGCGTGTCTTCACGTGACCGGAAGGAAGAGCTGAATAAGCAAAAGTGGGTTCATTATGTGATCTAGGAGCAGGGCATGTCAAGGTGAGTCCAGCCCTTTGGAGAAATTGAAAAGTGCTCCTCTGGTGATCTGACAGGTGTCCATTGAGGAGTAAAAGAAGAAAATGAAAACCCTAACACAGGCGGCATTGACTGAACACTCAAAAGGCAGCAAGCCCTAAACTAAATGCTTCATATATATTCACTCCTTTAATTCTCATTGCAGCTCTGTGATTTAGGCATCATTTTCCCCATTTTACAGATGAGAAAACTGAGGCCCAAGTTGTTAAGTTCTTTGCCCAGAGCAACGTAGGCCCAGGGTTTCAACCTGAACCTGGAATTTCAGGTGAGAGGCAGCTCATGCATATTTTTTTATAAGCAGGTTGCAGTGGTTCACGCCTGTAATCCCAGCACTTCAGAAGGCCAAGGTGGGAGGATCACATGAGCTCAGCAGTACGAGACCAACCCGCACAACATAGTGAGACCCTATCTCAAAAAAATTATTTATTATAATAAAATATAAAATTAGGGAAGGGAAGCAAGCAGGGAGGGAGGTAAAATGTTAATTAGTTTCTCTTGCAGACAAGAAGAAGGCCAGGAAGGATTATTACTATAATTTTTTTTTTTGAGATGGAGTTTCACTCTTGTTTCCCAGGCTGGAGTGCAATGGTGCAATCTTGGCTCACAGCAACCTCCACCTCCCAGGTTCAAGCAATTCTCCTAGCTGGGATTACAGGCGCCCGCCACTGTGTGCAGCTAATTTTGTCTTTTTAGTAGAGATGGGGTTTCTCCACGTTGGTCAGGCTGGTCTTGAACTCCTGACCTCAGGTGATCCGCCAGCCTCGGCCTCCCAAAGTGCTGGGATTACAGGCGTGAGCCACTGCGCTTGGCTGCCATGAAGGGTTTTAAGCGAAAGTCTGAGGTAATCAAATTCGGGTTTTAGAACAACAGGATCTCTGGAGGCTGAGAAGAATGGTGGGGCTAGAGGCTGTGTGTTCAGATTCCTTGCCCAGAAATATTAGAATAAACCAGACAGATCCCTGTTACTATGGACTTTGAAGGATATAGAGCCCTCAAGAGGCATTTTCCAGAGAAAAGACAAATGTCACACATCTAGAAGATCTGAGGGCACAGAGCTGGTTCCGCTGAAACTAAATTGTGGGTAATGCTGGGCCCCTTCCTTTCTTCTTCAGGAGTTCTGTTGTTTGGCATCAGTCCATCCCTGCCACGACACTTCCAGGGCTGGGAAAGCGTGGTCAATGGAAGGGCTGAGACAGAAGAAATCAATGAGACATCTGCCCAGGATCCCACCTTGGGAAATGAGTGTGACGCCAGGTTTTACCTTCAGGTTTCAGGGCTTTCTGGCATGGACTTTGGAAAGCTCATCCCTGGGTTTCCCCAGAATGGATTTTATCTCATTTTCTGAGGTGCCTGATGTGTGTGTTGTGCCACACTTTCCCTCAAGAGTAGCAGAGAAGAAATATCACTAAGGAAACAATGATTTTGGTTATTTAAAACAGCAATTTTCATACAATAGCATTAAGGATGTGATGGACCAAAGTTTTCAATTGTTTTGATTCTGAGGGTTAGAAGGAAGACAACAACCACTGCAGTGAGATTAGATGGCTTTTCTCCAGAAGATGACCTTCGAGTCATCAATGGCTCCGTAGAGGTCCTTGGGTCTGCCTCTGTGAGTTCTTTTGTTTGTGAAGCATGTGTCTAGTGAAGTACCCAGCCTTTGGTGTGTTATGCATCTGAGCTTCAGTCCTGATCCTGTCTCTGACTGGCAGTACAAACTTTGGCAAATGTCTTAACTTCTTTCAGGCGAGATGCCTCACTCTCATAAACCTTAATACAGTGCCTGGCCCAGCGTGTTGTATGTGTTCAAAGTGTGAAGTCCCACCTTTTTCCCATCTCCTTAAGCACAGACCATGTGGGTTAATGATAGGCAATAACAGAAGAAGAAAAAAGATCAACTTGTAATCACTTTTAGGAAAAAAATGATATAAGTATTAACCAAAAACTCCTGAAAAAAAATACCCTAAGTACCAATATATGGGTCAAACTCATGCCTGCTATTTCTAAGGTAAAGCACACCCTCTGGAGAGATAATTACACAAAGGCACTTCTCTTGACTGATGGGTTGCAAAAAGGTTCCTCTTCCTCTGGCCTGATGCCACCTCACCCCAATTTCCAAGGCACAGGCTCTGCTAGAGGAGCCTGAGGTGGTTTCCAACAGCCACTTGGCTATGTTCACTGTGGCCCTTTGGTCAGGGCATAATCTGCATGCATTCATCCTCAGAATCTCACACATTATTCGGATGGAGCTAACATATAGTAAATTGGCAGTGGAGCAATGCAATCAGAATAGCAGACCCGAAAAATCACAAAATACTGAACTTTAAATACAAACCAGACCACTACAAATAATTGTCATAATTGTTTTACTATATGACTTGATAAGTTATTGAGCTTCTTAAGGTGATCTACAATAATGCTTGGTGTTGATAATTTAAGAAAAAGAAGAAAAAAAGCGACTAGTAGCAAAGCGAAGACTGTATTACAGGTTGGTGATCAGAAAAATAATTTCAACTGTTTCAACAGCTGTTTTTATGAGAAAAAAGAATACTTCAGTCATTTTTAGTTTTTGTTTTTTGGCTAATTGAACCAAACATTTATACAAACTAAAAGGGAAGATGTATATAAATTATGGATATTTTAAAAGAAGAGGGCTTATATTACTTTCAAGACTCCAAATCCTAGAATTACATTAACCATCTGTTGCTCCATTGAGAACCCATTTTAATAAATAAAGAAGAATGGCTTGAAACTAGCACATCAAAGCCACAATTTCAGTCATGCCAACTTCCACTTATGCTGAAATTACACTATATCTAGTAAATTGTTATTTTAATATGTGAAAGCAGTGTTTTCCCAAGTAGGCAGTACTTCCAATAGCAGTGTTATTCATCCTATTTATTTGCTTATTAAAATAAGCATAAAATTTAAATTTTCAAGGCTAAAACCACAAATTCGTAATTAGTTTTATCTAAATTAACAAGGTTTTACTTTCAGTACTAAATTCTAGGAAACTCTACTGCAATTAAAATGGGAAAGGCAAAAAGATAATTTGGCAGAAGGCTGATTAAAGGTCCAATTCCATCTCAAACCCCCCATTTAAGATGTTTCTATACTGATAATACCATCTATGTGAAGATAATCTAATTATGAACATAATGAAATTTGTTAGATTTTGTTTTCTGTGCAAAATTGGAATCAGAACCACTCCATTCAGACCCATAATGAGCTTTAGTCTTTGTTGATCCCAAATTTACTTTAAAAATGACCATAGATGAGGCCTGGCACTGTGGCTCTTGCCTGTAATCCCAACACTTTGAAAGGCCAAGGTGAGTAGATCACTTGAGCCCAGGAGTTCAAGATCAGCCTGGGCAACAGAGTGACACTCTGTTTCTGAAAACATACAAAAATTAGCCAGGGGTGGTTCTGTGAATGTATAGTCCTAGCTTCTTGGGAGGCTGAGGAAGGAGGAATGCTTGAGCCCGGGAGGTGGAGGCTGCAATGAACCAAAATCATGCCACCACACTTCAACCTGAGCAACAGATCGAGACCCTGCCTCCAAAAAAAAAAAAAAAGAAAAAGAAAAAGACTATGGATGGATACAATCCATTGTTATCAACTGTAGTCAGCATGTTGTACAATGTTCTTTTGAACTTATTCCTCCTATTTACCCGAAATTTTGTATCTTTTGACCAACATCTCCTCAACTCCCAAATCCCCAGCCCGTAGTAATCACAATTTTTCTCTCTGCTTCTGTGAGTTTGACATTTTAAGATTCTACACATATGTGAGATCATGCAGTATTTGTCTTTCTGTGTCTGGTTTTCTTTACTTCCTGTCCTCTAGGTTAATCCATGTTGTGGCAAATGACACCATTTCCTTATTGTTTAAGGTTGAATGGTATCCCCTGTGAATATGCACCCCCTTTTCTTTATCCATTCATCCTTTGGTAGACACTTTGTTCTCACATCTTGGCTATTGTGATTAGTGTTGCAATAAACATGGGAGCGCAGATATCTCCTTGACACGTTGATTTCCTTTCCTTTGTATATATATCCAACAGTGGAATTGCTGGATCATATGGTAGTTCCACTTTTAATATTTTGAGGAACTTCCATACTGTTTTTCATAATGGCTGTGCTAATTTACATTCCCACCAAAAGTGTGCAAGGGTTTTCTTTTCTCCACATCCTTGCCAGCACTTGTTATCTTTTGACTCTTTGATGATAGCCATCCCAACATGTGTGAGATGATATCTTATTGTGTTTTTAATTTCCCGAAAATTGCTGAGAGTAGATTTTAAGTGTTGTCTCCAGAAGAGATTACACGTATGTGAGAGAATGTATACATTAATTAGCTTAGTCATTCCACAATGTATACATACTTCAAAACATAATTTTGTACACTATAAATATACACAATTTTTATTTGTCCATTGAAATAAATTAATTTTAAACAATTAGTGACCTTGGATGCAGCCAACTCTTGGCTCTTCCTTGAAAGTGGGTATTTCCTTAAGTGTTTCTCTTAAGCTTTGCTTCCAGAGAATAAAGAAGGTCTAGAATAGCAACCAAGGCCATGTAATGACAGGCCTTTTATCAAGCAGATCTCAAATAGTATCATGTTTTATTTCACAAACCTCAGAATGTTTTTGAATAACCCAATTTTAATATGAATGCTTAAAGAGATGAATACATCCTCATTAAAAAAATATATTATCAGGGAGGCTGAGATGGCCAAATTTCTTGAGCTCAGGAGTTTGAGGCCGGCCTAGACAACATGGTGAAAGCCCATCTCTACAAAAAATTAAAAAAATTAACTAGGCACGGTGGCAGGCACCTGTAGTCCAAGCTACTCAGAAGGCTGAAGTAGGAGGATCGCTTGAGCCCAGGAGTTTAAGGCTAGAGTGAGCCGTGGTCAAGCCACTGCACTCTAGCTTGGGTGACAGAGTGAGACCGTATATATAAAAAAAAGTGTGTATATATATATATATATGTGTGTGTGTATACATATGTGTATATTATATATAATATATGTGTCTGTATGTGTGTGTATTTTTCAAAAGGTATAGACATAAAAGTATTGGTAATTATTGGTAATTCATTTACTAGCACATTCCAAAAAAAACACTTTTGCCATAAAATTGTCTTAGATTCAACAAAAAGGGTTTATTAGTATATGTCCAAAATAAGGTGGTTCAGATTTTTCTGCTTCTTAGCAATTCACTTTTACCCATCCAGATGTTTTTCTTTCTGAGCTTGGGTTTCAGCATCATACATAGTTTTCTTCTAGTGACTAGTATCAGTTGATGCCACTTCAGAAGGAGCAGCACAAGTTCTCAAGCTGGACAATGTATCCCATAAAATTATTCCAAGAGCCAAATCTTGGCATCTCACAGGAAGATTTCTTGAAGATCAATAAGAATCTGGGAGTTACCTCTGACAATTATGGGAATCTTTACCTTCACTATAGGTTAAGGTGTATCTGGGAGATGGAAAGATACTTAAGAAATTACTTAAGTAAGCTATGAAGAAGCAAGTTGTCATCAAGTCCTACCTGACTGAAAAGAAAAAAAAATAAATCCGTAAAGGGAATTTAGGATAATCTGCAGTGTTCCACAATCTGGTCTAATTTTGTGTCAATGGATCATGAACCAAAAATGTGTTCTCTGGAATTCAGAGCACATATACTCTTCCCTTCTAAAATGTGAGAAAGTCTGAAAAGTGTCATGTAAATAAACACCTAAGGCAGAAAAAAAGAGAAACAACCCCATCAAAAAGTGGGCAAAGGATATGAACAGACACTTCTCAAAACAAAACATTTATGCAGCCAAAAGACACATGAAAAAATGCTCATCATCACTGGCCATCAGAGAAATGCAAATCAAAACCACAATGAGATACCATCTCACACCAGTTAGAATGGCAATCATTAAAAAGTCAGGAAACAACAGGTGCTGGAGAGGATGTGGAGAAATAGGAACACTTTTACACTGTTGGTGGGACTGTAAACTAATTCAACCATTGTGGAAGGCAGTGTGGCGATTCCTCAGGGATCTAGAACTAGAAATACCATTTGATCCAGCAATCCCATTACTGGGTATATACCCAAAGGAATATAAATCATGTTGCTATAAAGACACATGCACATGTATGTTTATTGCGGCACTATTTACAATAGCAAAGACTTGGAACCAATCCAAATATCCAACAATGATAGACTGGATTAAGAAAATGTGGCACATATACACCATGGAATACTATGCAGCCATAAAAAATGATGAGTTCATGTCCTTTGTAGGGACATGGATGAAGCTGGAAACCATCATTCTCAGCAAACTATCGCAAGGACAGAAAACCAAACACCACATGTTCTCACTCATAGGTGGGAATTGAACAATGAGAACACTTGGACACAGGAAGGGGAACATCACACACCGGGGCCTGTTGTGGGGTGGGGGGAGGGGGGAGGGATAGCATTAGGAGATATACCTAATATAAATGACAAGTTAATGGGTGCAGCACACCAACATGGCACATGTACACATATGTAACTAACCTTCACATTGTGCACATGTACCCTAAAACTTAAAGTATAATTAAAAAAAAAAGAAAGAAGGAAAGAGGAAGGAAGGATGAAAGAAGAAAAAGAGAAATGAGAAAAAGTAGGAGAGAGTGCATAAGTAAAACAATGTTTTCTAAAGTATAAATTTGGGGAAAACCCAGCTGAATTCATATGCTTTATACTGTCAGGAAGTAAAAACACCCTCTCCCAACATTCTCTCTCTTCTCTTTCAGCATCAGAAATGAACAGGAGCAGACGCATGAGAGGAGTGCTTTAATCTGCTAAATGCAGGTGTCTTAAAATGCAGCATCTGTCTGCTTCCTTGGGATAATGTTCATTTCATTTCAATCATGTGGCATTGAGTATCTAACATTGTTTTTCTATGTATAAGCAGCCATAATTTCCTTTTGGAATTAGGTAAGGGCCAATGTTTTTCTTCAATAAAAAGCCATTTGCTCACCTTTGGAGAACTGAGCAAGGAAGTCACTAGGATACCTTTCAGGGTTTCAAGACTCTGTCCTAGAACTTGCAAATCGATGAAACACATGGTGATTTTCCTTCCATCTGTCTATCCCTCCATCCATCCTGCCAGCCAGCTAACAGAAACTAAATGAGTTCCTCCCACGTGCCTGGTCCTGCCATAGGAGCTGGCAATAAACATGAACAAAAGAGATAAAATCCTCATCTCAAAAACGTTGACACCGAAGAGGTTTAAACAGACATTTACATAATTATACAAATAAATATGTAATTAAAAACTGCAATGAACGACATGAAGGAAAATGACAAGAGGGCATAGAATCCTGTAACAGAAGGACTTGATTGAGAATTTTAACATGTCCTCAGAGAAACAAAACAAACAAAACAGACATCTTGATTTTGTAGAAGTAGAAAAATGTGTCGATTTTGCCTATAGCCATTAAAATACTTAAGCAAAACTTCATATTATGTTATCTGGGCTCAAAAAAAATTCTTGGGACTTTGCTTTTAATACTGTTGGTGTCAAAAATACTTCAAAAATGAACAGCAAATAATGCTTATTTTTAATGGTTTAGTGTGCTACTTTAAAATAAGCTAGAAGGTTTTAAGAGGAATAGAAATGAAAAATCCAAAGGAGGTAGATCTTGTCTTGACAGAGCCACAGCCCTGGACCAGAAGTCAGAGGCTTCTAGTCTCATCAATCATGCCCTAGCTGTGCTACCATGGCCAAGTGATGTAACCTCTCTCAGGATGAGTTTCCTCGTCTCTGAAATAACTGCTATGCTCACCTATGAGGTTCTTTTCAGGAGCATCTGAGTAATGTACATGAAAGTACTTTGTGATCACTAGCATAGAAAATACAGTACAGAAAGTGGGTATACAAAGCATCAAAAAATAATAATGCAAAGCTGAGTCACCCTTCAGAGAGGAATTAGGATTGGCCATCCCAAAAGACTTCATCAGCTAATTGGAAAACATCATTGTGTGTCTATCTTTAAATTGCTACCAATCATCCCAAGCAAAAACTTATGCCAATATTATCAGAGACAATTACTTAGCATGTCACACTTGGTAGTCTGAAAAAAAAAACTAGCAAATGCTTCCTGCAATAAATAACCACATGTGCACTTAGGATTCAACTTAATTTTACTCAGTGAGGAAAAGGGCACTGTTGAAATACATGCTGGCTGTTTTTTTTTTCTTTTTCTTTGTTTCTTCTTTTTAAATGTATATTCAAGGACAACAGATAAACTGAAATTGGGAAAAGTTTGACCTGAGAGAACTGCCATTTCAGTCAGAGGAGTTAGGTTACAATTCTCACTTGAATTCATCTCTTTATAACAGGCACCTATATTTTTACTTTGGAAGCCTTTATATTTGTTATTGATTCCATGAAGGGCATTGCTCAAAAAACATAGGCTCCATGGCCACCTGTCTTGCTTGTTTAATGGGGCCATTCTGAGATATCATAGCCTGGAGGAGACATTCTTTAACCAGTCCCATCAGAAAAAAAATCACTCAGTGTTTACCTTCCAGGATTTCAGTCTAGGTTCTTCAAAGACATACACGAGATTTTTGTAAATAGCAATCATTTGCAACATGTTCTGGAAGACCCCGCACTGAAACAAACCCACCATACTATAGAACTATTTCAACTATTGCCACTTCACCATCTCAGGGGCATGCAAAAATTAAAAACAAATTGAGCATTTAGAAAATAAAACAAGATTTTTAAACGCAATCCAGGAATAGGTTATTTATGACCCAGTTTAAATATATTTTTTGATAGAACTATTTGATCTAATTTGTTCTTCATGTTTTTATTACTTGAAAAAGGACAGACACAAAGTATGAAACTCCTCAGCTTTATTAATGCAAACATATTTTTATTAAAGAATGAATGCATTTATGCTAAAGAATAGCTTACATATGTTGTAAAGCAACAAGCATATCTTCAAGAAGTGAGTCCTCCTCAATATGACTCCATGCTTATTCTACATGCCTGAAAACTGGGCCCACACACAGGGGCACACGTACACGCACACAAACGCAGATACGGACACACAGATATGCAGACCGAAATGCTGACACCATCGCTCTCTAGATTGGATTAGCTCTCATTTAAGGCTTCTTAGGTGCCGCAGTGCCCCTAATATTACCAGGATTGAAAACAGACTTTTAGGAAGGAGCAGCATTACTTCGAAAAGTAGTCATCTGCTCTTGTCCTCCAATGTGTGTATTTTAACAAATACAATTTCATTCTATGTTGACTCTGTGTTTATAATATTTAAAGAACCATGAAATTAAGAAATCTCAGGATTGTTTTAGTGAGAACTTCCCATTCAAAATAAAAAAAAAGGGCAATTCTGACCCTAAGATATCATCAATTTTATGATAACGCAATAAGATTTCCCTTTAGGTTAAGATGACATGGGTCTCTAGACAAGCCAAGTTTATCTAACTCATTCTGTATCTAAGTGCAATGCTGAGTGATGGGGGCAAGGTTTCCTCGGTGATACCAAATCAGATTTGAAGCTTGCCATCAAGGATGCATCAGACAGGACCATTAATTAAATAAGTTACCATAAATCTCAGCTGGATAAAAGGAGAGTTGACATAGAGTGTGTTCACTTGCTGATCACTTATTCCTCTTTGCCAAGGCTTCTGTTGTTGGGGTTGTTGTTTTAAACTCCTGGTTTGTTTGACTGTTTATTTTATTTGCTTGATTGTTTTCTTCCTTTTGGTGTCCTGCAACATATGCTGAGATTTCATCCCTCTAAGGATGTTAGAAGGGGAAAGAGGGTGGACAGGGCAGCAGGAGGGAAAGGGAAGGGGTCATTAGTAATTGCAAGTATTCTAAGAAAATAGATGAAGTGAATACAATAAGAGGGTACTACTTGGTATATTTATGTAAATAAAAGCATTATCTGTAACTGTGAATTAACTGCCAACTATCAGGTTGTTAGTTGTAAAGCTCAATAAAGGCTGTGCTGATTTGCATACAGAGGAGGGCATCTGCCGTGGGAGAGGAACAGAGGGCCCTCCCGAGATGTTCCTTCCTCCCTGCGGCCAGCGTCCCCATCAGCACCCTGCCCACCCCACTAGAGATCCCATAGGTGCCCCTAACATTCTTGTGGAATTTCATAAGGCAGATCGGAATGGCCCATCCAATAACAGCTGCAGAGTATTTGCCTGAGCGTGGTGAAAACTGGCATGGAGCTCTCCCACAGAGAGGCATTGGGAAATGAGAAAAATAAGAGAGCCTAGAACCTTCCTCCCCATCCACACTCCCACCCTCCTCACAGTCACAGCAGCAGCAGGTTTCAATGTAACGTAATTACTTTAATGATACATTTCTTTAGATTTAGAATTGCTCTTCTGAATTTAAAAACCTTGGTCAGCCAATAGTTTGGCAGTCTTTTCATCCCAAATTTGAAACGTTGCTTACTCATCTATTCCCTTGAACTCCGTGACCAATGCTGCCTTTGCTGAAGCGTCTCAAGTTCATTCAGCCATCATCGGATTCCAATTCCTGGGAAACCTCTTCGGAGGAGCTGTTGCTGTGGATCCGCCCGTCGCTCTTCATACTGTGGAAAGTCTTCCTGAAGGCCTCCATCATGGCGTGGGCCAGTTTCTTGGCCTCGAGCTTGCTCTCGCACTCCACGGCGTGGCAGTCCATCTGGTAGGACAGGTCATCATTGATCTCCCTGTAGACCCAGGCGAAGATGTTGGGGCTCACGTTGTGGTCGGCGGTGCAGTAGGCGATGCGGGCCACCTGGAAGGTATCCATGTGCACTGTGGCCTCCCCTTTGTGGTCGAGATGATGGAGCCAAACTTGGAATGGCCGGATTTCCAGGAGGGCATTGGCCGGAAAGACATCCTCTCGGGCTAGCGTGTGCTTCTTCCAGAGCTCAATGACTGGCTTTTCTGTGCAGCCTGACAAAAACTGCATGCCAGTGGTGGAGACTTTGCCCAGGTAGGTAACCTGCAGATGCAAGAGAGGAAGAAAAGGGAGGCATCAGCAGAAGGCTCTTTGTTCTGATAGACTGAATGAGTAGCTGTTCCACACAGTCATGGTGTCACATTGGGAAGGTGAAGACACTTCTTTCTTGCTCCCTGAAAGAATAACTCATCAAAATTTCTACCTTTTCTCTCTAATGAGTTGCCTACTTGGCAAATGTATTGAAATTATTTGAATAGAGTTGGATTTTAAAATCTAATTTCTAGAGAACTACTCTCCCTCTCCTTACTCCTTTTTTAAACCCCAATTAAAACGAAGAGTATGATCTTTTACATAATTTGGCATTCCTTTAACATCATAAAGTCACTCAAAGTTTATTTTCGGCCAAACACACACAGAATTGAATAATAGGAAGGAATCAAAAGGACACTGAGTTGGAAAAACAAAATCTTTATTAAACTTATCTCCTAGCCTGGGTCTCTTTCCAAATCTCTCAATGTTTGATTTCACTTAGGCTGCCTGCTTCTAATGCCAAGGACGCAAAAACTGTTCTCTTGAAATTATGGCCTAAAGCATGATAGTTTTCCTTCCCAAGATAATTTTTAAAAATAACAGCAGTGCCCAGTTCTTTTTTAACCTAAACTGTTTTTGAACTGATGAGCATCTGTTGATCTGATAATAAATGAAAGATCTACAGAAGAATCAAGAGTAGAATGCTGGCTTATCACCTAGCTAGGTAGGCAGTATGAAAACTAAGAAAAATAATTCCAAACGATTCAAATACTGTCTTTTTAAAAGCGTGTTTATAATATGCCAAGAAGGGATTTTCATCCTTTCATTGTTTTATTCATTCCACAAAATGCACAGAATTACTATTATTGGGGCATAGGCATTATGGAAAGGCATAAAACTTAAGAGATCATCTAAGAAATAATATGAAATAGTATATACTTACATTTAAAATTAGTGACACAAATAGAAATACTACGAATGCGAGGAGAGAAAGACCAGAAGAGGGTCCGTGGAAACCGTGAGAACTGAGAGGGGACATTTGGTCAGAATGATTCCAAACAATGGTTATATTTAGTGGGACAATACAGGCCACATATAAAAAATTAAAACACAGAAGTTAAGGACTATTGTATCTTTGTGACAAGAGTAGTCCCTTTAAGAAAATAACTTTTTAATAAAGATGTGTAAGTGTGATACATTCCAGAAGTATTTATTGGGAACCTCTTATACACAATGGCAATATAACACATAGGCATGGGGATTGCTATGAAACTGGGGAGGGCCGAATATCCACGGGAAAGAAATAATTGAATACTCATTCAGAGCACAGTCTTTGAGGCAGGTGAAGTTGAGGTTTAAATCCTAGCTCCACAGTTCACCAGGACAAAACTCTCACCCTTGGCACCTGCACAGCTATGACTCTGATGTAAGGCAGGCCGTGGAAAGGGCAGGAAGGGGAACAGCAAAGTACTGTGAGTGTTCAGTGGAGGAGGCAGTGGCATACTGATGACAGAAGGCCTCAGGAAGAGGCATTGGATTTCAAAACATTGGCCTCAGACTACATAGGAGCCCAGCAAGTCAAGGTGCTAAAAAGGAGGAGGGAAACAGTAAAGGCAAGTAGTAGAGAAAGTCTCAATCAGCTTGGACAAAGAGGCTGTGCTAACCTGAGCACACGTAAAGCGGTAGCCTAAGACAGCCCTGGAGCAGAAGCCGTGTAAGAGGTCCACGACCTCTGGATAAAAATAGGCTGACCTTTGCAGGATCGCCCCACATGTGGTCTGAGGAATCGGGGCGTCGTTGCTCCTCTGGAATGCCACTGAAGGGCCAAGGTCCAAGGAGTGCCTGGATGTGATAGAGCCTGTGAACTCAGACTTTCCTGATGCCAGGAAGAAAGGTGGATGGGGAGGCCTGACTGATAGCAGAGACACAGCCAGCGGGCAAGGGTGGCCTGGATTAGGAACAGAGGCAGTGGGAAAGGACAGGAGGAGGCAGAGGGAATAATATTGCAGGACAAAAACTAACAATACAGGGTGAGTATCCCTTAGATAAAATGCTTGGGACCAGAAGTATTTCAAATGTCAGCTATTTTCAGATGTTGGAATACTTGCATATACATAATGAGATATCTTGGGGAGATAACCTAAGTTTGAACTGAAATTTATTTATGATTATGATTCATATATACCTTATACACATAGCCATTAGTTTTACCCAATATTTTTAATCACTTTATGCATCAAAGTTCGTGTAAATTGAGCCATCAGAAAGCAAACGTGTCACTATCTCAGCCACTCATGTGGACAATCTGTGATCGTTTGGCAGCAAATAAATTGTGGTGTTTACGCACCAAATAAATTGTGCATAAATAGAAAATGTCAACATATTTAAAAAGGCAGCCCATCCAATGGGAGAAAATATTTGCAAGTCATATATGTAATAAGTAATTAATATCTGGAATACATACAGAACACCTAAAAGTCAACAACAAAAAGTCAAAAAACCCAACTTAAAAATGGGCAAAGGCATCCACAGTGGACTGAATAAAGAAAATGTGGTACATATACACCATGTATAAATACTACGCAGCCATGAAAAGAACAAAATCACGTCCTTTGCGACAACATGGACATAGCTGGAGGCCACTGTCTGAAGTGAATTCAGGAACAGAAAACCAAATGCCACATGTTCTCAGCATCCAATCCAAACTATGCGCTAATGAGCGTATTATGAGCTGTTGCCCAAACAATTTCATACGAAGTTACCCTAGCCATCATCCTATTATCCTATTATCAGTTCTACTAATAAGTGGCTATTATCAGTTCTACTAATAAGCGGCTCACTCAATTTATATACACTTATCACAACACAAGAACCCCTCTGACTACTCCTACCACTTGCTTACTCACTTATAAGTAGGAGTAAACATTGAGAACACATGGACATAAAGATGGGAACAACAGACACTGGGGACCACCAGGAGGGGGAGGGTTGCGGGGGTGAGGGTTGAAAACTACCTACCAAGCATCATGCTCACTACCTGGGCAACGGGACCATTAACACACCAAACCTCGGCAACACGCAATTTACCCATGTAACAAACCTGCACTTGTACCCCTGGACCTAAAAGTTGAAAAAAAGCTTTAAAAAAATAAAGTTCCTGTATGTCAATCCCTGGGGAAAAAAAAAATGGGCAATGGAAATTAATAGATATTTTTTGAAGCCAAAAAAAAAAAAAAACATGAAAACATGCTACCATCCTTAGAAAAATGCAAACCAAAACTACAGTTAAATACCACTTCGCACCTGTTAGGATGGCGGCTATCAAAAAAGCAGAAAATAACAAGTGTTGGCAAGGATGAAGAAAAATTGGAATTCATGTATCCTGTCGGTGGGAATTTAAAACAGTACAATTTCTATACCATGTAGAAAACAGCGTGGCGGTTCTCCAAAAAATTCAAAGTAGAGGCCGGGCGCAGTGGCTCACGCTTGTAATCCCAGCACTTTGGAAGGAGAGGCGGGCGGAACACGAGGTCAGGAGTTCGAGACCAGCCTGATTAACATGATGAAACTCCGTCTCTACTAAAAATACAGAAATTAGCCAGGCATGATGGTGTGCACCTGTAATCCCACCTACTCAGAAGGCTGAGGCAGGAGAATCGCTTGAAACCGGGAGGCAGAGGTTGCAGTGAGCTGAGATCACATCACTGCACTCCAGCCTGGGTGACAGAGTGACACTCCGTCTCAAAAAAAAAAAAAAACAATTAAAAGTAGAATTACTATATGACTCTGTAGTTCCACTTCTGGGTATATACCCCAAATAATTGAAAGATGTATATCAAAGAGATATTGTACACATGTTTATAGCAGCACTATTTACAATAGCTAAAAAGTAGAAGAAATCCAAGTGTCCGTTGATAGATGAATGAATAAACAAAATACAGTATATATGTATAATGTATACTGGAATATTATTCAGCCTTAAAAAGGAAGCAAATTCTGACAGATACTACAACATGGATGAATTCTGATGACATTATGCTAAGTAAAATACACCAGCCACAAAAAGACAAGTACTGTATGATTCTATTTGTATGAAGTATTTAGAGTAGTTAACATCATAGAAACAGACCAATTAGAATTGTGGTTGCCGGGGGATTGGGGGAGGGACGAATGAGGAGTTACTGTTCAATGGGTGCAGAGTTTCAGCTTTGCAAGATGAAGACAGTTCTGGAGATGGTTGGTGGTGATAGTTGTGTACATTATGAATGTATTTAATATCACTGAACTGTGCACTTAAAAATGGTTAAGATGGTAAGTTTTATGTTGTATGTATTTTACCAAAATAAAAATAAATTAGGGAAAAAAGCATACGGAGGAAATTAACTTTAGTGCCTGAAATGAGGTATATTTATTTTTACTATTCACTGAAACTAGAAATAACTGTTTTTATGTTTGGTAGAAAAAATCCTGATTTGCTCTAAAGGCACACTTTCTCTCTCTCTGATATTTTTCTAAAAATTGCATACAGAAATATATATCATGACATAATTTAAAAATACTTCTAAAAAACTTTATTGAAAGTTGTAGACGATTCACTCCAATGAAAACCGATTTCATAGTAGCAAAATTTTGGTAACTAAGAGAAAATATCTTCCTCTTTATAAATCTTTATAAATATGTATTACCTATAAAATAAAGATTTTGAAAGAAATAAGGTTGTATTTTGGAGGTGTACTGGAGAGATGAGTGGAGCACAGATGTGTAGCTTATATGAGATTATATAAATTCGAAATATATTATCTATATGAGATTATATAAATTCAAAGAAATACTGTTAATGGCCGGGTGCAGTGGCTCACACCTATAATCCCAGCACTTTGGGAGGCCAAGGTGGGCAGATCACAAGGTCAGGAGTTTGAGACCAGCCTGGCCAATATGGTGAAACCCCATCTCTTCTAAAAATACAAAAATTAGCCGGGTGTGGTGGCAGACACCTGTAGTCCCAGCTACTGGGGAGGCTGAGGCAGAAGAATCGCTTGAACCTGGGAGGCAGAGGTTGCAGTGAGCTGAGATCGTGCTACTGCACTCCAACCTGGGCAGCATAACGAGACTCTGTCTCAAAAAAAAAAAAAAAAAAGAAATATTGTTAACAAGTTGGCACTTCTTAAAGAAATATAGGGGCTGGGCGTGGTGGCTCAGGCCTGTAATCCCAGCACTTTGGGAAGCCAAAGTGGGTGGATCACTTGAGGTCAGGAGTTCAAGACCAGCCTGGCCAACATGGTGAAACCCATCTCTACGAAAAATACAAAAATTAGCTGGGTGTGGTGGTGCACGCCTGTAGTCCCAGCTACTCAGGAGGCTGAGCAGGAGAACTGCTTGAACCTGAAGGAGGCGGAGGTTGCAGAGGGCTATGATTGCACCACTGCACTCCAGCCTGGGAAACAGAGTGTGACCTTGTCTCAAAAAAGAAAAGAAAAGGAAAGAAAAGGAAAGAAAGGAAAAGAAAAGAAAGGAAAAGAGAAACATAGGAAAACAATTATCTGAATGGGGTTTCCTAGAAATGGAATGGAAAGAATTCTTTAAATAGCGTGTCCCTAAAAATGGAATGCAAAGGGATAAAATGACGTAGCAAGACCGTCTCCCCTCAGAAACTCTTTTCAATCAGCCCTGCTGTTATCCATAATGGCCCAAGTTCCGGAATCCTGACCTATGTCTGTGCACTTTGCTCTAGGAAGTCAATTACTTACTGCCTGTCCACATACTTCTTAATTCTCCCATTAAATTCTCCAGAGTTTGGCATTAACCCATAATGTTGACTGTAAGTCACTGAAAAACACTATTCAGACCTTTTTTCAAAAAGTGAACTTCCCTCTTTATTTTTTTGTATACGGTTTAATAGAAATGCATCTTATGGCTCTGATTTTCAAGGGAAATTGAGTAAAAACTTAAAAAAATTAATTGTCTCAAAATACCAATGATTCAGTTATGCTCTGCATGCAACCATGCCCCCTGTGTATTTGGGCCATGGAGTTCCCCCATCTCAATAAACAGAAACCCTGTTTATGGCCCTGTATATGGGCCATTATACCTGTATATTTCTATATCAACACTGTTACAGGGACTCACTCTAAATATAAATAGAGAGGTCCCCTCCTGCCATGGTTTCTCTCATGTGGGAAAATTCCCTTTAATATTCTTCTGTGAGCACATCCTCCTTATGAGTAAGAACACAGAACTCAATGTGCAAGGCTGCTTCTGGAGGTTCCGCAACTAACATAGCTGTGCACCAATGTCAGGTTTGGTTAAGGAGAATCCTGTTATCCTGTCTATGAAAGAGGTGAATACTTTCTAGAGGAATAATAGGCCCTGTCTTTAAGAGTCGCAACCTTCCAGAGCCACAAAGTAGACAGAAAACACCAACTTATAAAATTGGTCACAAAATGTGTCCAAAATGATACACAGATTTTTCTTTGAGCCTTCACCACCCAGGGTGCTGGAACAAAGGGACTTGGAAGATGACAAGAGGGGTCTTCAGGAAAAGTAACAACTAGCTGGAAATTGCGGTAAATACCAGCATCTTTTCTATGGTTGCAGAAACAGGCATTGGGCATGAAACTTATTACCAATGAATCATTCTGAGAGAAATAAAATGAACACTTTCCCCATGTGTCATTCCATGGCATAAACTGATCTCCCAAACACAGACATTTGCAGTGTGTGTAAATGGACCTGCCCAACCCCAACTGAAGAAGTTATTTGAGAATATTCACAGACTGTGAAAATATAGAGAGGCTGTGAAGCCAAGGGACCCGCCAGAGTGTCTGCAGTGTTAACAGCGTCGGATCAGGAGAGAGCAGTGTCCTCAGAATCTCTCCTTCCAACTCATGAGTTTTCCAACACCCCAGCCAGCTCTGCATTCATGAATCACCATTCCCTGCTCATCTGTGGCAAAACAAACTTGGTTGCCCGACATTTATCCTTCTGGTTGAGCAGTACCATTTGTTTCCCCTGGTGGCCGGTCGCTATTTCATTCTGGCCTGAGAAGCTGCTGTTTTGAACCTGACTCACCTCACGCTAGACTGGAGAGTGGGATCAAAAGGGTAACGTCAAGGGTTCCCAAACAAAGATGGAAGATGGGATGGATGATTGTGCAAGAACCCAAGCACCTGCTTTCCTGGAGTTCTTCGACTTTCCAAGCTGGATGAGCCCAGCTTCACAAGCTTAGCTTGGGTTCCACTTACTGCTGGGCTTCTCAAGAATGACAAGCCAAGAATAAAGACCTTCTAGAGGTCTCTCTTGAGATATAAAAGACTTTGCTGTGACTAACACAAGAACAGAAAACCAAACACTGCATGCTCTCATTCATAAGTGGGAGTTGAACAATGAGAACACATGGACACCAGGAGGGGAACATCACACACCAAGGCCTGTTGGAGGGTGGGGGGCTAGGGGAGGGAGAGCATTAGGAGAAATATCTAATGTAGATGATGGGTTGATGGGTGCAGCAAACCACCATGGCACGTGTATGCCTATGTAATAAACCTGCACGTTCTGCACATGTATCCCAGAACTGAAATATAATAAAAAAATTAAAAAAATATTTTACTGTTTTTCCATTGTCTGTAGGACATACAATATGTACCCAGCTGACATAAAATAACATGATAGGAAAAGAGAATGGAGGAAACTTTGCTGGGAATCCTAATAGCCTTTGGGCTCCAAGGCAGAAGATGAGAAAAAGAAAAGCTGCTCTTAACCCTGGGCAAAATACCAGAGTCAAGCTCTTCTTCCATCACATGGATTCCCACCTGCACATTCCAGAGAAAAGGCAAAGGGTGCAACATAGAGATTTATGACCTCAGCTTGAATCTGCTCCTTTCTTGCTGGCCACAGAGGCACAGAATCCACTGGGCACTTTGAAGAGTGGAGATGGATCTGCATGCCAATTTCCCAACAATCTAAACCACAAACACTGACTCGATAATTATGACCATGAACCTGTATTACAAGCTTTAAGCCACGAAGAAGGTATTAAAGGATAGATGCTGTTCATAGTGAAATCTATGAAATTATTGTCGGCACAATAATAAATTTTGGAGGTCTAGAAGAATGCAGAGGGAAGACACAAAGGGGGCTACTAGAACCAATTCCTGGTTCCTGGGAATCACTAACAGGAACAGAACCAACAGCCAACATTTATCCAGGACTTACTCTATGCCAGGTACTTGGCTAAATGCTTTATATGGATCATTAATCCTCATAATAATTCCATAAGGTATGTACTAGCTGTTTCTATAGATTAGGGAACTTGTAAGAGGTTGAAGTAACTTGCCCAAGGTCACAGAGTGGCCAGAACTTGAACCTGGACAGTAGGACCCAGAAACCTGGCTCACATTTGCCACATCCCAACTGCCCTTCTCAAGGCTGGTCCCTTTAGACTTGTGGTGAGCCTGCTAACAGGATCCTGTCTGGTTCCTCCTGGAGCTCCCTGCCCAGTTTCAGCATCAGCCATCAAGGAGTTGCAGGGTCCTCCATCAGTCTTCCTGTACCCTGGAGACACCCATAACAATAGCAAAGGGGAGTGGTAATCTGGGAACTATTTTCAATACTTCAAAAGGGCCAAGGAAAGTTGTTTTCTGACAGTGTCTCCTTTATTGTGTATATATATATATATATGTATAAGCAAAAAATGAACTCACATTTACATAATGTGATTTATTGGGCAAATAAAATTGCTCAAAATATGGAGCCTATGATGGAAAATGTGTACCTGTCAGTGATCACATTGGAACCCAGTGATCAAAACTAGGCCACTCATTTTCCACTGAGAAGTCAGTGGCAGTCCCAGAGCCCACCAGTGAGAGAATCAGCTCTTGGGCCCATGTCTCCCAACTCTAAGAAAAATGTTCCTTCCATCTCAGCATGTGACTCCTTAAGCTAACTTCTATAATAAGGCATATCATTAGATACAGTGATGGCTGATTTTATGCATGGATTTGGGTAGGGCATGGTGCCCACTCTTAGGTCAAACACCAGCCTAGATGTTGCTGTGAAGGTATTCTTTTTTAGATGTGATTAACATTTAAATCAATAGACTACGAATAAAGCAGATTACCCTTCATAATGTAGGTAGGTCTCATCCAATAAGGTTAAGACCTTAGTAGAGAGAACAGATGCCCAAGCAGGAAGAAAATCTGCTTCTAGACTGATTTCTGACTCAAGACTGCAACGTCTCTTCCCTGGATCTCCTGTCTGCCCACCTTCCCTTAAAATGTTGGGACTCGCCAGCCCCTACAATGATGTGAGTCAATTATTTTAAAGATATGTCTGTCTCTCTCTCTCTCTCCCTCTCCACCCCCCTCCTTCCCTCTACTCACACACATACATATAAATGGGGCCAATCATTTATATGTGTGTGTGTGTGTGTGTGTGTGTGTGTGTGTGCACCAACCTAACACCACTCCTTTGTTGCAAATGCAATGATTCTGATACCAAAAGATCTGAGAACACTTGCCCCAAATCCCACAGCTGGTCTCGGAAAAGTGAGATGTAGAACCCAAGTCCTCCACCACAAAACAAAAGCTCTTTCCACTGCTTTAATTTCTTCACTTGAAGAGGATTCAGACACCTTAGTTTCCATTCTTATATCATTTACCTTTTCTCTGGCCATTTCTTCAAATGTCCATACTGAGACCAAGGCCTAGTCAGGGACAGCAAAAAGCAATAGGCACCCTACCAAGGCTTTTTAAACATCCTGCAAGGTGGTTTGGGTCAAAGGCAGGTAAACTGTCCTTAACCAGAGATGTGTTTGCATAGCCCAAGGATTTTAGATTATAATGCATCAATCATTGAAAGAAAAAGACAGTGTGCATAGTTAATATTCAGACATCATATTCCTAAAGAACTCTGAAATGGTGTTTAACAAAGCAAACCATTCCCACTTCAAAGAATAATTCCAAAAAGCAAACATTACATCTGTGCTATGCTGGTTATTACCCTGCCTCTCGTGCATTGTATATCAACATACTAGACAACACATGCTAAAAAATTGCTCTTGGAGCCCAACACTATGGTGGGTAGGACTGTGCACATCCCTCAATAAAGGCAGTTGAAACCCTCAGAAGGCCAACCCAAGAGGCTTGGTCTCAGCTCAGAGCAGGCCTGGGCATCCTTTATGGTTGCAATGGCTCCAGAGTCCTACTCCTCAGCCCTACAGGCTTCTGTGTGTCATCCTCAGGAAGCTCATATGACTCTGAATCAAAGCTAGGTTTTTTCTTTTGTTTGATTTGTTCCCAGAGTGAGTCTCTGATACCATTTTGGGGTCTGTCTTTTGGCAGATCTACTTCACTTCATCAGGATAAAAGTAGATCTAGGCCAGGTGTGGTGGCTCACGGCTGTAATCCTAGCACTTTGGGAGGCTGAGGCAGGCAGATCATGATGTCAGGAGTTCGAGACCAGCCTGGCCAACACAGTGAACTCCTCCTCTACTAAAAATACAAAAATTAGCTGGGTGTGGTGGCAGGCCCCTGTAAACCCATCTACTTGGAAGGCTGAGGCAGGAGAACTGCTTGAACCTGGGAGGCGGAGGTGGCCATGAGCTGAAATCATGCCACTGCACTCCGGTCTGGGCAACAGAGCTAGACTCCAGCTCAAAAAAACAAAACACAACAAAACAAAAAAACCCGAAAATGGATCTAGCTGTCCCATGGCTAGACTGGGATGAAGCCTACTAATTGTCATTCACCATGGGGCTACCCCTCCAAGTCTTCTGCCTAATGTCTGCTTAGCCAGGTTAACCTGCCTGACCACGAAGTAGAGGGTAAGCTTAGCTGCCTAAACAAGGCCTTCCTCTGACTTTAACAGTCTGTTTTGGTTTGTTTTTCTAAATGGAATGATTATGACCCAGAAAGGCATACAGACTTACTCTTAATTTTTTTAATAGTATCAAACATGCCGATTTTATAAAGTACACAATCTCTAGGGCACATATATGCACATGCCTTGGTTGGGAGATATTTATTTCAGTAACTTTCCTAAGGCTAAAAATATTGAGAAAATTTAAAAAATGCTTAGCACTTTTCCCTAAGTATTTGCACAGATTATGTCGATATAATCTATAAAAATATTAATAGAAATTTTATTAGGAAATCTATTTTTATTATAGAAATATATACCACGGAGGAAAAAGCAAATTTACCAAGACCCAATATCAAGGAATAACTAAGTACTATTTTTGAACTCTAGCAAAGAGGTGAACATTCCTTCAGCTGTTAAATACGGCATGTGTCCCACAATTAGGTAGTAAAGTGACAGATTTATTTCTGCCACTTGTATTAGAACTTAGTTCCAATGATGCAGGGTGACTTGAGATTTTGTGCCCCATTTTGCACTTACCAAGCAGTCCCCATGTGCAATTTGTCCTGTCAATTGGCTCTTGGATGTGTGAAGCTTGGAAATATTGTCATTGTCACTGTCAAAGACAGAAGCGATTTATCTTGAAGGTACTGAAGTGTGCCCCTGAAGACAAAGTCACTTAATAAAAACGAGACCACATTGAAATACACATCCCCTCATGTGGCCCCTTCTGGTGAGCTGGACTTAGGATGATAAAACCTGGAGCTGTTCCACCCAGAGGCCCAAGAACAATTTATTTCCTGACAGGTCTGATACCTCTCCCTCTGCTTTCTAGTCAGAAGAGTATGCTGAAAAGCGACAGAAATTCAGCAGAGCTCTCTAGGCCCTAACATGTTCACAACGAGAAAATTCTCTAAATGATAAATCAGTATCAAGCACACTGCTTGAGTCATCCTGACAAATGGATTCAAGGGACAAACAGTGTGGCAGGTGAAAAATGTCACCAATTTTAGTCCTTGTAGCACTTTATCAATTCATTTTCCTTCGTGCACAACTCATTAGGAATGGATCACAGAAGGCACTAAACATTTAGAAAGAATAATGTTGAGACAGCATGTGGTTAGAGGTCACAAACACACAAATCTACTGGCTACAAGTCTAGAGATTCTAGTAAGCAACCAGTGGAGATTTGGAACAAAAGAAGGAGAGGTACACTGAGGCTAATTAGACCTGGAATTGTTATATATTCTAGAGAAATGAATACATATTTAAATAAAAACCTTTACATGAATGTTCATAACTTTATTTGCAATAGCCAAAAACTAGCAGTCCAGATGTCTTTCATCAGATAAATGGTTAAGTAAACTGCGGTACATCCATATCATGGGATACCACTCAGCAATAAGAAGGAATAAACTCTGATATGTGGAACAACTTGGATGAATCTCTGGGGGTAATTATACTGAGTCAAAGTCATCCTCCAAAGGTTACATACTATATGATTCTATTTATATATAAATTTTGATATAACAAAACTTTAGAACTGGAGAACAGATTACTGGTTGTCAGGGATTAGGGGCAGGGACTACTTTTATTTATAATTATCAAAATGTATCATATATTTATGTTGTTCTGATCAATGGATATTAATACTAATTGTAAGGATAACTCAAACCAAAGAAATATTTAAACTTAAAGATGTATTGTTACAGAAAATAATTTTTGAAAATTTCAATTGCTTATATATTTTTCTTGCAGAGAAAATATGACAGGGTAGACAATAAATGATTAAGCAACAGTTATGAAATCCACTCTCTCCCTTTATGAGGCAGAAAGGGAGGTAACCCTAGAGAAAGAAAGAACCTAGTCTAATCTTATTGTCAACTTGTTAATGACCACATCTTCTGCTGTTTGCAAGTAAGCAAATCCTTACCTGTGGAATTCTTTTTGTAGGATATACCTGTTTGCCTAGAATCGGTAAACAAACCTGAAATCTGTGGATTTATGGCATATAGCTTCCAAGAAAGAATCTCACAATGTAACTAAGTATAAAATGGAGATGTTTCAAGATTAAAAGGGTGCCCTCTACTTAAGTAACGCCACTGTATACAGTATTAGGTATCTTCCGTGCCGATTTGAGCCAGACCATATATAACGCAGCGAGAAAGGACTGAGGGTGCTGTACTGACAGTCCTAGCTCACATTCTGTTTTGCTTGTGCTTTCTAATTATTTGGTTATTTGTAATTATTAGTAAAGTTTGGTACTAGATGAGCTTTTTTATTTGAATATCCAATTCTTTGTGTAATCTCACAGAGTAACATATAAAAGACTGAACCATAAACTTATATTAGGTTGAAATTCTGTGTGGAAAATAGAAGGGCTATTAAAGTTCAAGGAAAAACAACGATAAAATTTATGATTATTAAAGAAGAGCTTGTTCATGATAATTTTAAAGAGATGCCAGCTTGGTGTTTAGATTATATTAGCTACATCTAAAAGAGCCATGTAGAAAATTATTTAAAATGACAGTCTTTAACATATGCTAGAAATTATATCCCTTGCAACTATTTAAACTTAGAACAAAAATATTTGATATATACTTAAAAATGTGCGGTTAACTAGAATATTAATATATTTGGTAGAAAACTGAATGAAATCCCTAGATTATCTCTTAACTGACGGATTCTTATTTAAAATATCTACTCGTAGTATCACATAATTAGAGAAATGCAAATTAAAACAACACTGAGATACCTCTCTCACCGGACATACTAATGAAAAGTAAAATGTATGGCCCATGTTCTGTTAGCAAGGCTGCAGAGAAACAGACACTCATATATTGATGGTTGGAATGCAACTTAGTACAACCCTTTTGGAAGGGAACTATCATTCTATAACAAAACTCTATATGTCTTTTGAATCATCAATATCATACCTAGGAATTTACAATGAAGGTACTCTTCAATATGAAAATACATAATCACAGTTTATCCAATGTTGCATTATTTGTAATCATAAGATACATAAAACAATCTAAATGCTCATACCAAATAAAGCAGTTGAATACATTACAGTAAATCCATCTAATCTACTATTCCACGTGTGAAAAGGAGTGAGAAAGAGTATATGTACTTACATGAAGTGACTTATTGGGTATATTGTTATGTGGAAAAAAAAAAAAAAAAGGCTGGGCACAGTGGCTCACGCCAGCAATCCCAGCACATTGGGAAGCTGAGGAGGGCGGATCACCTGAGGTCAGGAGTTTGAGACCAGCCTGGCCAACATGGTGAAAGCCCATCTCTACTAAAAATACAAAAAAAATCGCGGCACTGCACCCCAGCCTGGGCAACAAAGCAAGACATCGTCAACAAACAAACAAACAAACAAACAAACAAAGTAAAAAAAATTGTTTTGTGTAAGCAAGTAGGGGAAGTGAAAGTGTATATTTTTATATATTTGTTTGTGAAAAAAGAAACCAGAAGAAAAAAACTGATTACCAACATGCAGTGGTTGCTTGGGAATGGAGTTAAAATAATGGGGATGTGGGAATGGGTAGAAGGCATGAAGAAGTGATACTTCTTTAACTATACCTTTTTGTATAGTTGTGACTTGCAGAATCATGGATACAAAAATTAACACAATCAAGAGAAACAGGGAGAAAATATTCAACATATAACCAAAGTAAAAATGAGTAAACCTAACTGGATTGCAAATGAAAAACATAACTGCAGTGAAGAGAGGAAAAAACAAGCTCAAATAACATTTTAACACAGTATTTGGACAATATTCCCTCTGGCTAAAGACAGAAAAACTATAAACCATCATTGTACTTTAGTTAGTAGGTTTATTTATCAAAGTGCCATAGACTTACAATGCTGAACTTACTTCATGTGTATTAAAGAAATAAGTTAAAAAGTAGCTATATAGTAAATGTTGAGAACCATGTTTCTCATTGTTAAAGAGAGTTACAAATATGCAAAGCAGGGAGGCTACACAGAACCCTGGGACATTAGAGTGGAACTGGAGTAATTCCAAATCCATGGCTTTCAATATATCTAGATATGTAGACACTGACATCAATATACAGGTGAGTTTGTGTGTACATGCATATATACATATACTTCTTAGCTGTGCCTAGCACCCTGCGAGCAGTAATGTGCCAGTCACTGTGAGCGTAACTAAAGCCCAGATCTTGGTTTCTAAATATCATTCTCCACTAAAAGAAGCCATCCCTACTCAGACAGAGCTGTTTCAGGGCTGTCACACAAAACAGTGACATGGTCCTGGAACATCACGCTTTACCAGAAAGGAGGAAAGTGCCCAAAGAATGATATAAACATGTTCAAACGACAGAGGCACTTGAAGGGGCTCCTGCTGGCCAAACTGGGGACAATTAGACCATCAAAGTAAATTATTATAGTAATGATTACAACCCACAGAATGGGTAGGAATCCATGAATCAATATTGATATAAATAGATAAATGAATAAATTGTAGGAAGAAAAAGAAAAGTTCCTATACTAGAACACAAACTAATAAAGGTAAAAGAGGCGATGAGACTAGAAAATCACCGTTTGACTCCCAGTGAAGTAATAAATGTTGCAGGCAAGAAGTATCAGTGGATGCTAAAATTTGGGACTAAACATCTGATGAGAAATTGGATATTTACACAGAAACAAAGTACCTCCACAAGACACCTATTATTTACAAATGGAGAGCAATAAATTCTCAATGGACAAATCTAACACACCCCATCACAACTAAGTGATAAAGTCATATACACTGTGAAGAATTCAACATTACTTCCATTACCCCCCTGCCAACCCCCTGAACCCAATCTTACGGAAATGTTGAACAAATCCAAATGGAAGGGCATTGCTTAAACTTCCAAAGTATAAAGGTCAGAAAGACTGAGAAAGAATAAAGATCTGCTCCAGATTAAAGGACATTAATGAGACCAATCTCATTATCCTGGATCAGTTCCCGGGCACTCATTTACTTTTAGTTTGATATAAAGTACAATAGTTTACAATTGTGAAAATATGAGTAATGTCTCTAGATTATAAAATAGTATTGTATAAATGTCAATTTTCTGATTTTGATAACTGTCCTGTGGATAAGAGAACCTCTTACTTTCTAGAAACCATACTCTGAAGTACGGAGACATCATGTCTACATTTTGCTATCAAACAGTTCAAAAGACAATAATTGTGTGTCTGTAAGAGAAAAAGATAGAAATATACACATACATATAGAATATAAATGATAAAGTAAATAAATATTGGGGGGAAATGGGAAAAAGAAACCTATGTATATTGAAATATTTTATAATAATTTTTCAACTTCTTTTGTTAAAATTATTTCATAATAAAAAGCTAAAAGGAATATCAATGAAGACGTGTCCTTGGCTCCATCTTAATTTAAGTGAAAAAGATGAAGATTTTCATGAGCATATACAGTTGACTAAGCAATGTTCATATCCTGAAGAGTAAATTTAAGATATATTCAAAAGACCTGTTTGTGATCAAAATCCACCCTCTCATGCTGGCTGGATCAATCTATTTTAGTGACATGTGACAAATTCTACTCTGACCGTCCTGGAGCACACATGTGTGTGGCAAGAAGAGGGCTGAGGGAGGAGGAGGAGAGTGTATCCAGGGATTTAACTGGAAAATACACCAGGTTAAAAATAGTACCTTTGGCAATAAAATCTGTGACCACTCAAAAGCTTTCAATGTCATATTCTACCTTCTCTTTACAAAATAGAACCCAATGCATGATGTGAAAGTAATTTTTAATGACTAGTCCCGTTACATTTTCATATTCTTAACATAATCTTGGAACCACAGATTTTCTGCTATTACCTAATGAGCTGATCCAAGGAAATACTGTGACAATTTGACAATATTGTTACTATTCATCTCCATATTAGAGTTATTACATTGAAAAAAATCCTACAGGAGTTTCCTATTAGATTTTTTTCTTTTTTTTAATTTTTTTTGAGAGAGAGAGAGAAAGGGGGTAGCGCAGAAAGAGAGAGAGAGGAGAAAGGGAGAAATTTTTTTTTTTTTTGAGATGGAGTCTTGTTCTGTCTCCCAGGCTGAAGTGCAGTGGAGCGATCTTGGATCACTGCCACCTCCAATTCCTGGGTTCAAGCGATTCTCCTGCCTCAGCCTCCAGAGTAGCTGTGATTACAGGGGCTCGCCACCAAGCTCGGCTAATTTTTGTATTTTTAGTAGGGACGAGGTTTTGCCATGTTGGCCAGGCTGATCTCAAACTCCTAACCTCAGGTGATCCACCTGCCTCGGCCTCCCAAAGTGCTGAGATTACAGGTGTGAGCCACCATGCCTAGCTGAGAAATTTCTTTTTAAGAAGGGAGAATGATATCAAATATTTAGAAATACAGAAGAAAGTACTGATAATATAGAGGCTTATGGATTGTAATTTTGAATGGTGTCTAGTTAAAGTCATTGCCAAGAAGTGTATTCTTAAGAGAAGAAAAAAAAAGAAGCTTTTCTCTTCTTTAATGTTTGGAAAACAAGAATAAAGAGCGAAGCGGACTCAGGATATTTTGAGACGAACGGCTACTTCAGCAAGCACATTTATTTTTAGTGAGAGTGTACTTGCACTGGTGCAAAAGTTTCAAATCATGATGGATTAAGGAAAAGCATGAAGCTCTTTCATTATTTTTCAAGAAGCACCTTCTCAGTGGTCCAGGGAGCAGTCTTATTTTCTTATTTTAGGACACAGCAGCACATTACTAGCAGGGCAAAGCAGGCAATCACTGTCTAGTAGACAGATTCAGAACTGCTTCCTTCTGATTCATTCAGAAGGAGAGAGCCATGCCTGGCCAGCCATGGAAGCCATCGGCTTAGGTAAGCAGAAAATGCATCTTGGCAATGCCCGGGGCAGACCTGTGAACCACATTAGAAGAAATGGCTCTGTGGCCAGCCAAGGAAGAGCAAGGACACATCCAGCTCAAATCCTTTGAAGTCCTTTAAAAGATGATTATCTGAATTCTCTGGGCCCCTTCCATATTTCAGGACCTTGTATGTGTAAAGCAAAGATACAGAAACCGTGACTCACAGATTTAAACCAGGAAAGCAGATCTCTTTTTAAAGAGAACTTTATTTTTATTGTTTTAGGAAATGTCTCTTTATGATGAATGTCCTTGTAAACTCTGGATTTTCCATGTGGCTGTTTGCATATTGACTTTTTCGACTGTGCTTTTCCCAAAACCCTTCTGTTGGGCTGGTGTACCTGGGTGTTCCTGCTTTCCCCCATCACCTGACGCATGAGGATGCTGAGATGCTTGTGTGAGAAGATCTACCAGGACTTAAAGGGCAATCTATATCCTGCAGGAATACAGAGGCGGATCATTGACAGAGCTGGTGCTGAGTTAGCTCCTCTCTGCCCATCCCACCAAGAAAAAGGTAGGACCTGCACTCCACCACCACCTGGCCCCTCTCCCCTGCTTCCCCGACAAATGCTCTCCCTCACTATCCTAGTTGAGAGACAGCCCTGCATGTCCCTCTCCTTCCTATCTTAGAGACAGTTCCAAATGTCCCTCCATTATTGCCAGCTCTCAAACTCTACACTAGTGATTTGATACTGAATCTAAGTTGGAAAGTCAAACTTGATTTCCCTGTAACACCAAGTTCTACAATGGACAATAATGAAGATAAGTCTTTGTGCTCATCATTTCCTGAGGAAATGGCCATCACAGCCTCGCTCTGCCCCTTGGACTCAGGACTGCTTTATGCTTCTTGCCAGGCCCCTCCATTTTGCTTTGTGTATGACTGTCTAGGAATTCACAGTAACAGCCCATGCTAAAGTGTAAATTCCTAGAATGTAGAGATGTGAGTCATAGTAATAGCATGCCACACACTGCTTGAGCCCAATAAAGACTAACGAATAAAAAATAAATTAATTCTCCTTAACGTCCAACATTTTAATGGCATAAAAACGTATTAGGTATTACAATTTTTAAATATTTTAAAATTCAGGGTAGTTTTTTTTTTAGATGGAGTCTCACTCTGTTGCCTAGGCTGGAGTGCAATGGTACAATCTCCGTTCACTGCAACCTCTGCCTCCCAGATTCAAGCAATTCTCCTGCCTCAACCTCCCAAGTAGCTGGGATTACAGGCACCCACCACCACACCCGGCTAATTTTTGTATTTTTAGTAGAGATGGGGTTTTGCCATGTTGGCCAGGCTAGTGTCCAACTCCTGACTTCAAATGATCCACCCGCCTTGGCCTCCCAAAATATTGGGATTACAGGCCAAAAGCCACTGTGCCCAGCGATTCAGGCTAGTTTTATGTGGAGAGTTTATTTTTCTTTTGGATGTTGGTCTATTGGTGAATAAGTGATAATAGTTGATTAATAATAATTTCAATTAATAAAGTGAATGACTGATATCCTAATAAACATAATAAAGATGTCCATGTAACCTAAAATGTGGCCAACCTGATACTTATGCTCTTTCCTAAGTTAATTTTCCTTAATGATTGGTTCAAATGAACAGGAGCTGCTGGTGGCTTGACTTGTGTCCATGGTTCTGTTCCTTTGTTCAAGGTTTCTGGGCTTTCAGGGCTCTGCTATCACAGGTGGCAGTGATGTCTTATTTTACTTGGGAAGTGCTTTGCACAAAACTTGTGAACATTCTCAGAAAGTAACAGTGAGCAGTGCCTTGCATGGGCTATACAACAAAACAGAGTTTGGGGTGGGAGTGAATTGATGAGGAAACCTTTCTTTTGTGAACACACCGATGAATTTCAGGAGACTTCAATCAACAGCAAATGTCTCAAGCCAAGGTGCTGCATTGCCTGCCCAGCACACTGTCACGGAGCATGCCCTTCTGGGCCACTCCCACAGCCTTCTCTGTCAGTCACTGTTGCTGTGTCTTGTCAAGAGCAGAGAGCCCTTGCCTGGTCACTTAACATGCTTTGATTTGGCAGTCACAGAATAGGTTGCAATTGCTGAGGCTCACTCTGTGACAGGAAGGCCTCCGCTGCCTGCCTTAAGTGCCACAGCCCAAATTAAACTTGACATAGCCCATCTCTGACCACCATCGTTCTGCCCCTGGCTGGTAGCAATTCAATCAGGGCCTGAAGGAAAAAATGGCTTTTGCAGCGTCTCACATATTCCATCAACGAACCCCCCGACTCTGCTGGGAACCATGCTGCAATAAGGCAATATTTCCTCATCTTTAACTAGTAGATTGTATTAAAAAAATAAACAAGATGAAAGAATGCTACATTTTCTCAGCAAAGCTTAGTCCTATAAATAATACGCAGACATACACATATAACTAACTTCCTAAACATCTTTTCCTCCAAGGTTTTCTTGTTTTGTTTTGGTAAATGCTGAAACTTCAGCATCCCTAAATTAGGAAAGTGTGTGTGTGTGTGTGTGTGTGTGTGTGTGTGCGTGTGTGTGTGTGTGTGAGTCAGGAGGGGGGGAACCAAAAAACGCACTTTGTGGTAAAAAAAATTTAAAACATGCCTCAAACAGCTCTTCTTTTTGGAGAGGTATATAGAGGAAAAATTAATAAACTTGGCTAGATCTTACGGTGAAAAATCTTAAGTTCTTTCTTAGTTTACCTTAATTTCTTTCAGAAAAAGTAAAAAAAAAATTATATAATTTAAGCCCTAGATAATGAAAAACTATCCCTAAATGAATTAAATTCACCCCTACCCACAATCAGCTTCCAAAAGCAGACAGGTGAGGTTTTTATTCTTCAGACTAGAACCCTAGATTCAAAGAGGAACCCAAACAGTCACTCCAAACAACTTGATCTCGCTGTTAGATTTTGGTTTAGACAAAAATTACAATTTGACGATACCATCTTGCTTTCAAAATGCATAGAAAATCCCAGCAATTTAAACTCAATGTTCTGCAATCCAACGGTCTACTCGTTCTTGACTGCACATGAACCTTCAATCTCCCAAAACCCCCAGCCTGTGCTTATAAAAATTGAATCACTCTCAGTTTATGTACATGCAAATAATGTGGCAAGATCTCCTACCATCTTGATAGCTGCAAAATAGCTCCCAATAAAAGAATAGGCAGTTAATTCAGGGTGTTTCCAAGGAAATGTCCTCTATGGCCCCACAAAGCCTGTAGTCACCATTTAACACCACCATGTTCTTCCTCCCCAGTCCTGTCTGCCGCTGCTCATGCATTTCGGAGCAGCATCACATCCATGAGGGTAACACCAATGTTCATGCCAAGGATACAGACCCTGCTGTCAACCGTTGGCCTTCCAGAACCATGCAGAGTTAGAATCAACCCTGGAAAGGGCTCCTGCCCAGGTTCCCTTGAGATGATCCTTCCATCTGGCCCCCACCCTGCTAGCAAAAGGAATTTACACCCAGGCCAAAGGTCTGGACAGAAAGCCTAGTTCAGCCAGGTATAGATGGTCTTTTGGTCCCACAGTAAGATTGAAACAAAACAAAAACATAATCCACTGGAAGCCAATATCACACTAAGTAATGATCTAATTAGAAAACAAAGGAATAAAAACAAAATAAAAGTTAAAGAGAGTTTTATGTCACCAGGTAGTTATATTATAATGAATTTATAGGACTTCTATTTATTTTATGGATCTCATCCAAAATATAAAGATAATAATAACATTTAGCATTTATTGAGTGCTATTAGGCACTGTTTTATATGCCTAATGTATGAAGTCATTAAATTCTCACAGTAGCCTTGGAAAATAAGGACTGTTATACCCAATTATACACCAGTTTAGGAAATGAAGAACAGAGAGGTTAAGTCATTTGTCCGGTGATTCACAGGCAGTTCGGAATCAAAGCTCTTACCCAACTCTCACAACACCTCTTAGAAACAAAATGGGATCTGAATTCAGACACTCTCCCTCTGAGCCCAAGAGCCTGAACAAAGGTTTTTGAATGGCTTGGCTTTAAGAAGCTGTTCTACATCTTGGTGTAAGATCTCAGCCAGAGATGCTGCAATCACAAAAAAAGAAAAGCAGGAGAGTCTGCATAGTAAGACTGCTGACGTGAAGAAACCAAGATGTCCCTTTATGACAATATACTGTCACTTCCACAGATTTTGCTTTTTAGGGTGAGCCTCAGAGTGGCAGATGATTTCTTGATACATTCTACTCATCATACCAAGAGTTATTTTCTAACTCTGAGACAGTTTGTTGGGTGTGAATAAATCAGTTACAACAGCATGGTATAGGATCTAGTGATTTTCCCCTCATTCTAAAATCCCTCTGAATTGGCTTAAGTCACAGATGTTCTCCTAACTCAGGAACCCCCTTTAAAGCAGCACTGTCTCAGCCTTTTTTACTACCTACCAAGCTTGATCACCCCATTGTTCCCATCCACATTGTGCCAATCTGCACTGCAGCCCTCACTCCCTAAAAACATTAACAAAATGCTGCACTTGGCCCAGGAGGAGGGAATCCTCTGGAGGGTCTCTCGATTGCAAAGGGGACTTGAATTCCCTTCTGTGCTGGCATTTATTTTTGCTCTCACAAATCCCTCTCCTTGGTAGAGGAAAGAGAAAAAGCAAAATTTGCAAGTGGAAGGTGCTGGCTAGAGCGAAGGACCAGCCCAAAATTTGGTTCTTAAAACTCCACTCAGGGGCACTAACCACGGCAGGAAGGGACTGAAATTCCATCAGCTCCATGTAGGCTGCAGCTCTGGTGGGGTAGAAGTCAAAAGGAAGGGCAGACAGCAGCGGCTAGTAATGTATGTTACAATGATAATATGTGCTTAATTTTTTAACTTTTCTAAATGTAAAATTTTACTTTGTGCCTTGTTTTTCTAATTTAATATGTAAAATGTATTAAAGTTTCCCAGACTCGAGTTTATGGATTCCTTCCAGTTTTTAAAGTAACAGTATTTTGGGTGTTACGCAAAATCAATATTGCAATAGAGGGTGCTGTGATTTTGCTGGGGTTTGGCGATCACCACAGGACCTGAGAAATTAAATGCAAACTTGATTGTATATTTGCATTTTTCTAAGAGAGGATTCATCACTTTCATCAGATTCTCAAAGGGATTAGCAATGCAAAAGAAGAGAGGAGACACTGCCGATAGTAAATTCCTAGAAGTGGAGCTGTGGTAGAGATGACTATGGGCATCTTTAAGATTTTGATGTATATATTAAATTCTCTTTCAGAAATAATTTTCCCATCTTTCTTTCCAATAGCTACATGGGAGACTCCCCCGACATACCAGATGTTTTTCAATAATGATGATCATCACTTTATCATCTTTGCTAATTTGACAGATGAAAAATGGTATCCTGTTATTTTTTGATTGCTAGTAAGATTATATTTTTTTCACATGTATGTTGGCAATCTGTATTTCTTCTTTGGTAAATGACTTGTTCAATTTCTCTGACCCTCTTTGTTTCCACAGAGGGTGGTTTATCTTCTTTCTAATATTTATAGTTCACTTTGTTTTATACCACACTCCATTGGCCAGAATGTCTAGAATAATGATAAATAAATAATATGGGGTGGTAATGACAATCCTGGTGGGTAGCTGAATTTATTTGAAATGCAAGGCAATTCTAGAACATTAGAAACATACCATGAGCAATTATAAGCACCCAAATACATTTTACCAACTTGCATGTCACCTAGTAATTTATTAGTAGTAGCTCAGATAATTGATAACCAAGAGCTTAATATAGTATAAGATGATATAAGAGACATGTTCTCATTTCTATCCCAAGTTTCACAGCTCAGAAATCTAGAGGTTAACCTCTTTGCACTCAGAAGACCATAAAAAACTTTCTCACTGTATTTATGCTGTTTTGAAATTCAATCAGAGGGGTAAAATCAGGAAAAGTCATCGACACAGAACACACATAACTCTGGAAAAAATGTGCTGCATTACAGTGTCATGATACTGAGCTGCCTTTTCCCAGAAGCATCCAACTCTTTTATAACCAGTTTAGTTTACACACCAAGATATATATACATATATACACACACATGCATAGAAGTATTTATATATACACATTTGTATCTACATGTACACACCTACGTATAATTAACCTCAGGCAGTCAAAATTTCTATAAACGTTAATTATAACAGAGGAAAAATATGAAAAAATGTCCAAATAATAAGTCATTTGTCTGTAGAACTTTTCCTAAATGACAGCTCCTGATTCTTTAGGTTATCTTTCTGCGAATCTCAACAGAAGCACAATCCCTGGGGCAAGACAAGAGACTCTAAAATCTTAGCCAACCATACAAAAGGCCCGCAGCTGTATCTGTACAATCCCCCATTAGAGCGTGTGGTCATTAGTTCCGCTTCTCTCTCACATATCACAATGCAAAATGAGGGCCATGACTGATGAAAACCATGGAGATGGCTCTGGCTGTCAAAATGTATAGCCTCTCCAGCAGAGCTCTAGTGCTCTGCCCATCCTAAATCAAGGGCTCAGGACTGCTGCAGCAGCAAACCCCTTGTTCTGTGGTGAAACAGACGCTACACATCTGGAGAGTGTTTTCGATTATACTGAATTGAGTCATGGGTCCTTAACAATATTTCTTTCCTAAAAAGTCTTTCTTCCCAAATGTTTACATGATTAGTATACTCTCAGTTCACAGCATGGTAGCTGCCAAATAATGGTGGATTGGGAAGAGTCCCATGAAGCTGCGGCCACTCTACCTAGTACAGTGTATATACCGGTGTGTACATGCAATAGACTTGCACAGGACTCCCACAGACACATACTTGTCCTGCCATTAGCCATCTGGTCACTGAGTGTCCCATCTCAAGCTCTGGGGGTAGCTCAGATGGAAGTCACTGTAGGCCTTCTAGTAAACAAGCCATGATACCCTACTGTCTTGGGAGTGGCATAAAGGTCATATGCCAAGCAAAAACAAAACAAAAACAACAAGAACAATCATATGGTTAAAAGCCAATCACTGCTCTTCAAATGATATGCCTTTTATGTATCTCCTAATATTTTCTATGAAGAAAATAGCTATTTGCTATCCATAATAGGCCAGCAATGCATACAATGAAAGAGAAAAGCTTAACAGAACTTAGGCAGGAAGGCCAGTTGAAAAGGTGATATGAATCTAGTCTGAATTCCGAATTTCTTTTAGGATTCTCTACATGTACTCTCAATGATCACCATAACTCCTGGGCTCTGTAGGAATTCTAGTCTCACTCCATGACTATTTCAGGTGTGAAGCCCTGTACCTTTCCATTTTCCTACTGCATGGAGGAAATTAACGCAAATTCTCCAGAGAATTTTATTAGAAGAAAAGGAACACAAAGGTAAACAAATAGAAAAATTTAATCGACTAAAACAGATAAATATGCAAAAAAAGCTTTTGGATCCTAAGATATCTGATTGTTATTATCATGTGAATTATGGTCTTTTCTATTTTAATTTTTTGAGACAGGGTCTTACTCTGTTGCCCCGGCTGTAGTGCAGTGAGGTGATCTCAGCTCACTGCAACCTCTGCCTCCCCGGTACAAGCGGTTCTTCTGCCTCAGCCTCCCAAGTAGCTAGGATTACAGGCATGTGCCACCACCCCTGGCTAATTTTTGTATTTTTAGTAGAGACAGGGTTTCACCATGTTGCCCAGGCTGGTCTCGAACTCCAGAGCCCAAGCGATCTGCTTGCCTCGGCCTCCCAAAATGCTGGGGTTATGGGCATGAGCCACCACACCATGGACTTTTTAAAGCTAACAGTCCATTACCATTACATAACAAAGTAACAATACCTAAGGTGTAAGTGTGTTGCAGGGAACAAACTTAATGAGGTAACATGCATAAAAAGTCAGCATCACGTCTGCCTCATTGTAAAGTCTGCAAACTGTTGTGCCCCAGCTTGTCAGTCCAACTTGGATTCTTTTTCAGCTCCCAATTCTCTTTCTCCCTGCCTTGTGGTAGGTAACACATTCTTCCTATAACATTGGCCTAAATTCTTCACATCCTGTCTAAAGCCAGACCTAGACTAAATATCTCCCTTTAGAAAAGTCCCAGCTGCCTAGTATCCAGGTCAGGATGTCCTTTGGTCCCCAGCTCAACTGAAGAACAGGGAAATGTGTGGGCTCTGGGGCTGACAGACACTCAGAATGTCCTGGCTCAGGCTTTCATTGCTGGTCCTATCCAGGGGACATTGGATAGTTGACGCCCTCCACTTCTCTATTTCCAAATTTTACTAAAGTGATTTAACAACGTTATAGTGCCAAAATATTCAATGACAGGAATAAACATAATTTATATGTGAAGGCATTCTCATAATTCATATATGTGGACCCAAAGGTTACAACTGCCCAGAGGAAAGTACAAACTACAAATCATCTTCTTGAGGCCCCTGGGGAAAAAAAAATCCCATAGAATAAAATATACTATGAATGTTTGCACCAAATAAATTTCAGACTTCTTTATAATACTGGATATAGGGGGAAATTCTCCAATTAAATATTCTGTTTTAAAGATAGTTTAATTTTAACTAAGGTGTTTAGCAATAAAATTTCATAGTAAGTTTTTACTGCTCTAAAGAGCTGAAAGACCATTTCTACTGCTACCAAGGATCTTTCCACCTAACTGTTATTTTTGATGGGACTTGGCTTAGAGAGCTTTTTTTTTTCAACAAATGGGGATCAATAAAATATTTGCTGCTTTTAAGACAGATTTATGTGTTGGTTTACTTTCTCCTCCAGAAGCCCTCATACATGAAATAAATTTACTTGGTAATCTGTTGTCTAATTTGACCGGTGGGAAATGTTCATTTCAAGCAGAAAGGAAAAAAAAAATGGCCTGAAAACTACTGGAGGCAACTTGGCTTCTAGTTGACATGAGGAAAAAAGGTATTCAATAACCATTTCAGGAGCTAGCTCACTGTGGATATTGATAGTGGACCAAGAATAATTAACATAAGCAGATTTTTACTTTGAGTCATTTGAAAGTTTCTTTTATAAGTAAGAATTTTTTAAATAAAAAGCTCCAACACTAAAACAAAGCTTTGTCTCAAATGACTTCTATTATTCTATATGTGCCATGTACAATTATTATGAAAGCTGTATTTAATAAGTAAATAATTTTGTGAGATTTTAGTCAGTTGTAATTTACAGCAACAAAAGCCTGTGCCATAAGAACCTAATAGAACACTTATAAACGTAACCACTTATAGGTAGAAGGCAGATTTCTATCAATTAAAATATATGTGAGGCATATAAATGTATGTAAATATGTAATACACGTGTCATATTTTGGCTGTAATTATATTAATTCTTTTTTTTTCTTGACTGGACATTTCTCATACAACTGGGTTTCTTGAGTTTCTCGATTAGAGAAAACAGTTTCATTTGAATTCCACCAAAATGGGATTTTCAAAAACTATAAACTCAGAAACTATAAAGATGTTACACTGATTAGAGAATGAAAAACAAGATTTGTTTATTCGAAAGCAAACATTTACTGAGCACTTAAAATAAGCCAGAACTGTTATAGGCATGTGGAGACAGAAGCGAATAAAACAGACACAAATTTCTGTCTTCATAAAGGAAGAGAAAAATCATATCCTCTCCTTTGCTGTAATCCAAGCTAGAACTTATGGCACCTGCCAACCCCAGGGGCTGCATGGGGCTTCAAGGAAGGTCTCCCCCAGCAAGCCCGAGGAACAGCCTCAGTTTCCCTCTCTTGGCCTGCATGGAGTTCCCAACTCACTTCACTTTGGACTGAGAGAAGTTAACTTTTTGCTTTCCAAACTGGTCTATCGTTTTTGGACACAATATAAAATGTAATTTTGTGGTTTATAGTTACTCGAACAGTTGCTCTGAAGGGGCTTAATGATAAAATATCAAATGATTTTCTGCTCCCATTAAGTACATTCTTTCTAAAATGAAACCCAGCAATCAGGGAGAGCCCAATCAGTCAAGACAGAGTCATGACCAACGTTTTGGGATCTCCTGGGGGCAGGTTTTAGAATTAAGATTCAGGTAAGTGCTTTTAATTTTAGAGAACAACTTTAAGAAATGAAAATTTTCCCTGTCTCTCCTCATTTATTCAATTCTTGTTCTAATCACACAAATGGATGGTATCCAAAGACTGGATCATTACAGAGTGGGAAGTATATAACAGGTGGCTTTTATATGCTCATAATGCTATTAGGCAGGGTGGGATATTAAAAAAAAAGAGCTTGCAATCAAATTGAAATCAGCAAACACAAAGTGAACCCCAATAATGCAAGAAAGCAGGTAATTAAGTGATGGTTTGCTCAGTACAACTGATACACCCATCAGGGGATCAGAAAAGACCAGGCTTAATAAGGCAGAATAACCTTTTCAACAAAGGAGAGATCTGCGTAAAGCTTGGCTGAAGGAAGAATTGTGCAAATGTAGAGTGGAGAAGCCCGTCTGACTGGAGTAGGGTTTGTGTTTTGAGGAGAAGCGGCATGTGATGCTGACAATGGAAGCGATTACCAAAGGACCAGATGACTGGGAAGACTTTACACTAGGTAGAATCTATGATGGAAAGCCAAGGAACATTTGGTGGGAATGAGTCAAATGTTGAAAGCAGTGTTTATACAAGTTTATTTTGGTGGTGGTGGTGGTCAAAGTCAACCGCAATGTGACCAGCCAGTCACAGGGAAAAATGTTACGTTGTGTTTCCATATAATATGGTACATTGTCTAGACCCTAGAGAACCCCTCCAGGTTATCTGATTGTGGTTATAAGGGAGTATTTTACAACTGCTGCAATTCCATAAGCTCTAGGTAAATGACAGTAATGCAGTGTGTGTGTGTGTGTGGGGGGGGGGGGGGGTCTGGTTTTACTCAATTTGTACATTCACTTCAATATTCCTGACCTATCAGTGAATCTGCTTTTTGGATTTTCCTTGAGAATTTGTTACAGCATCTGCTTGGCTCCCTCATGGATTGGTAAGTATTAACAGAAAAAATTACTAACTCTTGTTCATTTCATATCTGTATAAAAGTCAGGATTTTGTCTTTTTCTGAAAGTTACTGTCTTTTAACACAAACTAGAAGATAAAGTCAAGTCATGGTGCAGACATGAGTACCTCAACAGAGGTCAGCATCCGTGCAAATGAAGAGGAGGGAGAACACCAGATTCTTCAAATAAAATGAGGGACAAGACATGGTGACTGACTAGGTACTCTGAATTCGTCCATTGTGGTCTCAACACCTGCCATTCATCATTGGTGCTCACACTCTCAAAGTTTACAGATCCTACAATAACAGGTGAAACATGCATGGGTGCCTGATGCAAGAAGAGATGTGAAGCAACTCAAGCAACTTAGGCTCCCTCGACATGGCCTCCTTTTGCAACCTTTCCTTCTCCTCATGGGCAGCTGACTTCCTACAATTTATTTCAAACACCAGCCTTTCTACCTGTGACTTCTCTCCTTGAACCTTCCCTGAGGCAGGCAGGGTGAGAAAAACAAGGGTAATTTAGCATGTTTAAAAGGCTTTTCCTTTTGTCCCACCAAGCCACAATTTAAAGGAGAAAACTAAAAGATAAGCAGAGGAAAAAATACTGTCAGGAAAAAGATAAAAAGTGGAGTTGCCTTGGGTATGTGCCCATTTGATTAATCTATATGTGGATAATTGGAAATTGATTCTGATTATAACTATGACTTTTCCCATTCATAAAAGCCCCAGACATTTGTATCTTTTAAGTTCTCTGTATCTATAATATGTTTTTGGTTTGATACACTAAATACAGCATGTGTTAAATTGAAGATAACATTATACTCATATTTAAGCAAACAAACTTACAAAGATATCTACCAATTTTGCTGTGTAAAGCAGGATAAAGCCTGAGAATATGGCCATAAAGGCTGGATTTGAACATTCTTCGGCATACAGCCTGACTTCAATAAAATAACTCATTTCTAGTGCTTTAAAAGTTTCCAAAGCACGTCCACATAGGGCATTATACTCAATTCTAATCTTGTAAATCAAAGTTCCCATTTCACATAGGAGCAAGTTAAGGCTGAGAGGATGAATTGCCTGTCCAAGTGGACACGGCTGACTGTTAAGAGCTGGAATTCAAATCCACAGAAACCTCACATTCAATTAACCCTTCATTAACCAGAAAAGGCAAGTCATTTGCAGACTATACATAATCTGGTTATTTTGAGTGGTAGAGTGTATCTATTCATGGGTACTGTTCCCCATTTCCAAATGAAGTCTCAGTGGCTGGTCTCAAGAATGTTTTTCATAGCTCCTGGATCCAGATTAGCCAAGAGATAAGAATATTAACAAGAGTATAAAATCCACAGAATAAAGCCCCAACCTCTGGAAGACTAGATGACTAATGACTCATGCCCCAATTAACGGCCAAACCCTTGCCATTTACGGTCACGAGAGTGCCACATAACAAGCCACTGAGTTTTGGGGTGACTTGTTATGCAGCAATATTGTGGCCCTAGATAACTGATACACTCTGCTTCTGTTAGGCACACTACCGACTTGCCTTTGATCTCTGAACGTATCCCTCTTGCAAGGAGGAGTAATTTGTATGATTAAGTCATCTGTCTTTAGGAAACTAAACCCTAACATGCTAAATGTAGCAAATCAATAAGGCCTCAGCATAATGTAGTATAAATAAATCTATTTCAAAAAGTAAAAAAACATATTTCTCTTTGACTACAGCCCAGAATATAAATAAATAAAAATAATATATATATATATATTTCTCTTTGACTATAGCCCTTTCACCCGATTTGGCTTTTTTTCCCTCCCTTCCCAATGCACCACCAAGCAATCTGATAATCAAAAGGTGTTCACACATTTCTTGCGAAAATCAATTTCCAGGGTAATAAAGGGCATTGCCAGTATGATTAAAATAATTCTACCTCCGTGTCCCTGGTGGTTCATCCTCTAATACACTCTAATAGTAGAGATTCATATTTCCTGATTTTTCATGCCCTGAGGTGAAGAAGAGAGAGGCAGGATCACCTGGTCCTTATGTAGCTAGAAGAGACAACGTATCTATTCCAACAAAGGATTGTCGGCTTTACCTGACATAGTATTTTTCTAGGATTTTAAAAATTCCAAAAAGAAAGTAATACAAGCCACTTTATCATAAGAGAAAGAAATTTTTATTTTATTATTTTTGCTGACCTCAAGACGTGTTGAATATCACTATTATAACATAAGAAACAACAAACAAAACATCCACAACAACCTAGAAGAACGTAAAAGTTAAAAACAAACTAATAGCCAGGCCTGGTGGCTCATGCCTGTAATCCCAGCACTTTGGGAGGCCGAGGAGGGCAGATTACTTGAGGTCAGGAGTTCAAAACCAGCCTGGCCAACATGGTGAAACCCCATCTCTACAAAAATACAAAAATTAGCTGGGCACGATCGTGGGTGCCTGTAATCCCAGCTACTCAGGAGGCTGAGGTGGGAGAGTTGCTTGGAGGCCGGAGAGTCGCTTGAATCCAGGAGGCGGAGGTTGCAGTGGGCAGAGATCATGCCATTGCACTCCAGCCTGAGCGACAGGGCCAAACTCTGTCTAAAAAAAAAAAAAAAAACCTACTAATTTTTCTTTCTGCAACTCCAAAGAAGCTACTGCATTTTGCCTTATCAAAATAAAGATATGCACTGCAAACAGAATTGGAACTGAGTGAGAAAATTTTTGATACTGTGATAACTAAAATTATGAAAAAATAATAATTTAGCAAGTAAAATACCTAAATAATGTATCAGAAATATCACCAACATAGGAGAGCCTAATTAAAATAATATTGCAGATTGTGTGAGTTGGTAGAACTGGTTAGCTTTAAGAATTATCAGTGTGGGTTTTTGTTTCAACTTTCCAGGGAGATGTTGACAAGGCATTTGAGATTACATACCTATGAATAATTCTCTTCTGAAAACTGTGATTGCAAAGATAATGGACACAGCATTCTACCTCCACATTCCTTAAAAGCCGGATAGGAGCAGAAGATACGTAAAATCAGTATTCGATACATGTCAGAAATGGGACAATGATATTGTGCTGACTTAAATGTTTACAAAGGAATTAGAAAGCAATTAGAAATGCAAAGCCTTTCTTCCTCCAAGGCAGGATACAATTCATAAGGTCAATTGTGCTATGGTGAATGGCTGTGTCCCCCAGGTAGAGGAGAAGCCAGAATAAATATAATTTTCATGGCTTGCAAGGGGCTGCTTCTCCGTGGACACCCAAATACTAGAGAGTTACTTCTTAATCCTGCTCTATATTACAACATCCCAGGATGAATATGCAATGAACTATTACTGGAAGTCTGCTCAGAAAAATCAATAAAAACACAACCAGCAGTTTTACTGACAGCTTTCAGTATGTTCTGTTTCTTTAATGGAAAATACCACATTCTGAAAAGGAGAGAAGAGATGAGTTCACAGCAGGAACTTTCCAATGGTCTTCCTCTGTTTGTTTGTTTTGGTGTCTTGTCCTAGCTGTTGGTTTTCCAGCAGAGAAGGTACTCTGCAGCATGGATGCTGGTTACACCTAGAGTGGAGACACAGGATTCTCTTCCGGCTACATGAAGGTTCAAATGTGTGAACTGGTTATACCGTGAAGATGTCCATATGACAGCCGCCCCTGCTGGCATGCATCATATATTCTGTAACTCTCTCAGCAGTTCTCTTGAGTATATATTTTGAAACTACAGCTCTTGGCCAGCATCTCATTTTTATTCAACCTCAGCGTCATTGCACTTTCAAAGAAACTTGATAAGAATGCTAAGTCAATAAATTTGCGTTTGATCACATTCATTATGTTAATTAAATTGAGGGTAATAATTTGAAAAAAAAAAAAAAAAGTGAGTTCCATGAGGGCAAAGTCAGAATCTATTTTTTCCCTACCACTGATTGTAACATGTCCTTGAGGTATATTTGTCAACCATGAAATATGCTTACAGAGAAAAAAAGCTCCAAAACCACATCTTAAAAGAGCTTCAGAAGTCCGTGGAAAGTGAGGCAGCCCAAAGAAAAGTGTGATAATACTTCAAAAAGGAGACAAATGTGAAATTACCTGTTAGGGGAAGAACACTAATGTGTTTCTTCAGTGTCAATATAAATTTTGTAAATATAAATTTGAAGTTATTTCGAGATTCTTGAACACAAAATAAAACAAACAAAATGAAAAACCCAAGCTAACTTAGAGACAGAGTTATCCCTATCCTTGAATGTTTTCTATAGGACAAAATACAAAAAAACGAAATGGATGAGACATGAGGGAGTGGATGAGAAACAGAATAGAATTGATGGAAATGGGCGTGTGTGTGGCTGAGTTAGTTAAAGTTGTACTATACATTTTTAAAGTAAAAGTGAGCACACAAAGTTAGGATTGGTAAATTATGTCCCACACAGTGACTTGAATTCATGAAAAAAGAAAAACTAAAGCATCTTGACCAATATGAAACATCAGTATATCTTAGCTCTCACTCATGGCAATACATGAAAGCATCGCTGAATACCTATTATGTGCTAGGCACAAGGTTAGGTGTTTTCACATATAATCTCATGTGTATATGTCAGTGTCATTATCAACTCCATTAAACAGAGGAAAAAACTCAGTATCAGAAAAGCAAACTGACTTGTCCAGTTCCACAGTCTAAGGGATGCCACCATGGCTTGAACCCAAAATTTTCTGAATCTAATTTTAGTGTGCTTTCCACCCAGCTATGATACAGGAATTCAAAACTGTACACTAAATTAAATCAAATGGTCTCAGCTAGCAAGTTTACTGTGTAAGTGCTACGATGTGTTTACTTCTCATGAGAATTCTAGCAAATATAATTTGATAAACCAATTGCAAAATCTGTTAAATGACATTTTTACCTCACCTTGCGACATCCCCCAAAAGTGAACATTCTTTCACTCAATATTTACAGAGCACAGACCATGTGCCAAGCATTATGCTAGGTGCTAGGGATATGACAAGGAACAGAGTGCCTGGTCATATACAGCTTATGTGGAGGGGATGATGCAGAATTACAAACAACACTTAGAATCAGTTTCTCAGGTCCTATTTTTTCCCACCAGTTGACTTTTATTTATGTATTTATATTTTATTTTTAATTGACAAATAATTGCATATATTTATGGGGTGCACAATGATGTTATGATATATATTTACATTCTGCAATGATGAAATCAAGCTTATTCACAAAACCATCACCAGGCTACATATTTTTGGTGGTGAAAATATTTAAAGTCTACTTTTTTAGCCATTTTGAAATACACAGTGTATTATTTATTATAGTCACCATTCTGTGCAATAGATCACTAAAGCTTATTCTTCCTGTCTAACTAAAATGTGGTACCCTTTGATGAATGTCTCCCCATTCCCTATCTCCCTTCTCAAGCCTCTGGTAACTCCCATTCTACTCTACTTCCATGAGATCAACTCTTTTAGATTCTACATATGGATGACATCATACAGTATTTGTCTTTCTGGGCCTAGCAATAAGCACTTCTCATAATGTTCTTCAGATTCACCCATGTTGCTGCAAATGACAGGACTGCCTTCCTCTTAAAGGCTGAATAGTATTCCATTGTGCATATATACCACATTCTCTTTATCCATTCATCTGATGATGGACATGTAGGTTGGCTCCATATCTTGGCTATTGCGAATAATGCTGCAATGAACATGAGATCACAGATCTCTTTCGCACCTTGATTCCAATTCCTCTGGTTCTATACCAAGAAGTGGGATTTCTGTATCATATGGTCATTCTAACATTAGCTTTCGGAGGCACCTCTATACAGTTTTCCATAATAGCTGTATTAACTTATATTCCCACCAACAGTGCACAAGATTTCCCTTTTCTCCATACCCTCGCCAACACTTCTTACCATCTGTCTTTTTTTAAAAATAGCCATTTTACCAGGTTATATTTCATTGTGGTTTTAATTTGCATTTCCCTGATGATTAGTGATGAGCGATTCTTCATATATCTGTTGGCCATTTGTATGTTTTCTTTTGAGAAATATCTATTTAAGTCACTTGTCCATTTTTTGATTAGATAATTTGTTTTCTTGTTATTGGGTTGTTTGAATTCTTTATAAATTTTGGATTATAGCCTCTTATCCCACAAATGGTTTGCAAATATTTTCTCCCAGTCTGTGCATTGCCACTTCATTCTACTGATTGTTTACCTTGCTGTGCAGAGGCCATATTGATGCAATCTTATTTATTTTTTGCTTTTATTACCTGTGCTTTTAGGGTCATATCCAAGAAATCTTTGCCCAGACAAATGTCGTAGAACTTTGCCTTTATGTTTTCTTCTAGTAATTTTATAGTTTCAGGCCTTTCTCTTTAGTCTTTAATCCAAATTGAATTGATTTTTGTATATGATGTGAGATAAGGGTCCAATTTCATTCTTCTGCATGTGGAGAACCAGTTTTCCCAACAGCATTTATTGAAAAGATTGCCTTTCTCCATTGCGTGCTCTTGGCATCTTCATCAAAAAAAACAATTGACTATAAATTGGTGGGTAAATTTCTAGGATGTTTATTTTGTTCCATTAGCCAATGTATCTCTTTTTATGCTGGTACCATGCTGTTTTGATTACTACAACTTTGTAATAGATTTTGAAGTCAGATAGTGTGATGCATCCAGTTTTGTTCTTTTTGCTCAAGATTGCTTTCACTATTTGGGGTGTTTTATGGTTCCATATGAATTTTAGGATTATATTTTCTATTTCCTTGAAAAAAATGACATTAGAATTCTGACAGAAATTGTATTGACCCTGTAGATCACTTTGGATAGTATGGAGATTTTAATAATATTAATAGTTCCAATCCATAAGCAAAAGAGAACTTTGCATTCATGTTGTCCACAATTTCTTTCATCAGTGTTTTATAGTTTTCAGCACACAGATCTTTCATCTCCTTGGTTAAATTTACTTCCGTTTTCTTGACACATATTGTGACTAGGATTGATTTCTTAATTTCTTTTTCAGACAGCTCACTATTAAAGAAACACTATTGATTTTTGTGTGCTATTTTTTATCCTGAAACTTTACTGAATTAATTTATCAGTTGTAACAGTTTTTTTTGGTGGAATTGTCAGGGTTTTATACATGTAAGATCATGTCATCAGCAAACAGAGGTAATTTCACTTCTTCCTTTCCTATTTCAATGTTTTTAATATATTTTTATCTAATTGTTCTAGCTACAACTTTCAATACTATGCTGAGTAAAAATGATAAGAGTGGCCATCATTGTTTTATTTCTGATTTTAGAGAAAAAGGTTTCATCTTTTCACTGTGGGGTATGATGTTAACTGTGGGCTTTTGTATACGGACTTTATTATGTGGAGGTACATTCCTTCTGTGGCTAATTTGCTGAGTTTGTATCATAAAAAGATGTTGTTTTTTGTCAAATGGTTTTTCTGCATCTAAGAAGATGATCTTATGGCTTTTGTCCTTCATTTTGTTAATATGTTGTAAAACATTTATTGATTTGTGTATGTTGAACCATCCTTGTAACCCAGGAATACAAGGGATAAATCCTGCTTGATCACATTTAACAATCCTTTTAATGCACTGGTGAATTCCACTTGCTAGTATTTTGTTGAGGATTTTTGCCTCTGTTTTCATTAGAGATACTGATCCATTATTTTCTATTCTTGTAGGTCTTGTGTGATTCTGGTGATGATGATTACCAAAATCACACAAGGCCTACAAGAATAGAATGATGATTAATGTTGGCCTCATTAAATGAGTATGAAAGTATTCCTTCTTCAACTTTTTGGAGGAGGTTTAAAAATATTGGTATTAGTTCTTTAAATGTTTGGTAGAATTCAGCAGCAAAGTCGTCTGGCCCTGGGCTTTCCTTTGATAGGAAATTTATTTATTACTGATTCAGTTTCCTTACCTGTTATTTGTCTGTTCGGATTTTCTTTTTCTTCTTGAATCAGTCTTGGCAGATTCTAGGAATGTATTCATTTCTTCTAGGTTATCCAATTTGTTGGCGAATAATTTGTTCATAGTAGTACTTTATGATCCTTTGTATTTCAGTGGTATTTGTTGCAACATCTCCTCTTTTGTTTCTGATTTCATTTATTTGAGTATTCTCTCTTTTTTCTTAGTCTGGCTAAAGGTTTATTGATTTTGTTTACCTTTTCAAAGAACCAAACTTGTAGCTGCACTGACCTTTTCTATTGTCTGTCTAATATCTATTACATTTATTTCTGCTCTTATCTTCATTATTTCCTTCCTTCTATTGACTTTGGGCTTAGTTTGTTCTTCTTTTTCTAGTTCCCTGAAGTATAATGTTAGATTGTTTATTTGAGATCATTTTTCTTTTTTGATGTAGGCATTTATTTCTATAAAACTTCCCTCTCAGAACTCTTTTGTTGCTTCCCACATGTTTTGGTATGTTGTGCTTCCAATTTCATTTGTCTCAAGATGTTTTTTCAATTTCTTGTTTAACTTCTTATTTGACTCACTGGTTACTGAGGAGCATGTTGTTTAATTTATTTGCATTTGGGAATTCTCCAAAATTCTTCCTGTTGTTGATTTCCAGTTTCATTCCATTATGGTCAGAACAGTTACCTGATATAATTTTAATCTTCTGAAATTTATTGAAACTTGTTTTGTGGCCTAACATATGATCTATCCTGGAGACTATTTCATGTGTGCTAGAGAAGAAAGTGTAATCTGCTGCTGTTGAATGGAGTATTCTATATATATCTGTTAGGTCCATTTGATCTATAATGTTATTAAAATCCACTGTTTCCCTGTTGATTTTCTGTCTGGATGATCTATCCATTGCTGAAAGTAGAGTACTGAAGTCCCCTACTATTATTGTATTGCATTCTATAGCACCCTTTAGATCTATTAAAAATAACTTTATATACTTATATATGATTTGATGTTAGGTGCATATATATTTACAATTGTTATATATTCTTGGTGAATTGATCCATTTATCATAATATAATAACCTTCTTTGTCTCTTTTTACAGTTTTTTTGTTAGGTCTTATGTTAGGGGAAGCAATGAGTGCCCAGGGCCTCAGAGAGCTCCAGACTCAGACTCAGGAGACCAGAGAATCATCCTAGGGGAAAATATTCAAAGCTAAAGTCTAAAGAACTGAAAAGGGTGAGAGAAAATGTTGAGGCTGGAGAAGAAATATGAGTGTGTAAGTCACCTAATTGTTCAGCCATTCAAGTGTTTCAAGAAGGCAAATAACATGCACAGATCTTTTATTTTCAGGAAGATCCTTCTGAATGCAATAAGGTGAATGGATTGGGGAGATTGGAGGCAGCGAAGCAAGGTAAGAGGCTATTGCAGTAGTTACAGTGAAAGAGGATGATGGTACAAAATAGAGAGCCAGGAACAAAAGAAAGTGATGGGAAGTAAAATTGAGCTGGTTCATGATTGACAGAATAGGCATGATCATGGTGGTGGGGATTTGACTGAGTGGGGGGTTGTGCCACTCACAGAAGAAAGAACAATTTAGGAAGAAAAATGATGAATTAAGTTTTGGATGAGATGAGTTTGTTTATCAGCCATGAAGTTTAGGGCACAGGGAAATGGTCTGAGCTGCATAGACATTATTGTTTTTCAAGAAATGTTTTGAACAACAGTAAGCATTGAACTTTCTTTTGACTTCCTCAAAACATAAGTAATTGTCCCAAGAATTCATTAAATTCATAAATTATCCAATTTTTGATAAAAAAATTGCCATATTCGAAAGTGAAAAAGCATATTTGTTTGTGTTTTTGAAGAGTCACACTGCAACTGCCCACTACTGTAATGACTTAAAATTATTTAAACTGCAGCCATTTTCCCTTTGATGAAAAGAAGTCTGAGGAAGTCATGGAACATGATCATACTGGAATCTTCTAAGCTAAAACCCTGGAGTAAAAGCATAATTAAGGAGAAATGAAACCTACTTGTCTCGGATGCTGATGCCAAAGAGAGCCCATAAATGTAGACTATATAAAGCCAGCATAATGGAAAATATGCTGGAGTCATGGAATGGTATGGCAATTCCTTCTAGCGAACAGATGGTGGCTATGAAAACTGTGAAATTTAATGAGCCTGGAGTAGCCTTTTAAGTGAGGCAGGCTCAAGAGAGTGATAACCAGATGCCAATCACTGGCCCCATATTGATACTTTGCTTCTTACTTTAACAGCTTGCACAGATGAACAGCACATTCTCAAGGTGCTCGGCAAGAAAGACCTTGGCTGAATGGTAAGTATCCAGGACTTTCAGAAACTTTGCTTTCACTTTAAACTATTCATTTAAGTACCTGAAGGAAACTCTTCTTTTGACCGCCAGCCAAAATCCAGGATTCTATAGCTGCCTTCCTTTGAGAAATACTGTTAAGTTCTAGTCTAGTTTTTAGGTGGGGCAGGAAAAAAATTCCTTCTCCAAAGCAGAGTAGATATGACATACGTTATAAGCAATGCTAGTGACTATTTCTCCCACTGTTGTGACCAATTAGATCCTGCAGAAAGATTAAGTGAAAAGTAGAAACTGTTGGCTTCATTGTCTGCTGGAAGTATTTGCTGTCATATGGAATATTAATCTCATTTCTATTATAAATTTTTAAATGCTTCTCACTTTACACTCTCACATCAAAGTAAAGTACAAATACACATGCACACACACAAAGACACACACATGCACATCAATTTTTAAATGTAAACAATTAAAACCATAAGGGAGCTTGTTCAAGGTTTATTGAGGTCATTATTTCCTCTTAAGAAAAGTTTTTTCATTGTATTGTTTTAAACTAAAGCTACAAATGGGTCTTTTGTGATTTACAAAAAAAAAAAAAAAAAAAACAGGTTGAAATTCAGAGATTTATGTAAGGCATGAACCTGCATGATAAATGCAGCTAACTGCAGCTACCATCTTGACCACCACATAGTCTATTGCAACACATTTCCAAAGGTTCTACTCCAGTGGTCAAATGGATTCGCCAGTAGTGGATGAAAATAATTTGTATGCTTGACATTAAACTATTGATGTAAACATAGACCCCCAAGTAAAACATTTCATAAGCATGGAAATAGTATAATTTATACTTCTTTATATAATCCAAGGAAAGCCAGGTGATTCACCAACAACCTTTCTACTTCTAACACAATTGCTGTTGAAAGGAAACATGAATACAAAACTATGTTTTAAGCCACACACAAAAAAAGGAAAAAAAGAAAAACAAAAAAACAACCAACCAACCAAACAGAACTAAATTGTCAAAATGAGCACAATAGGAGCCAGCATACGGTAGAATCCAGATTCTATCCATTCATTTACCTAATGCTTAATCTACACCAGGCACTGTTCTAGGTGATGAAAGCACAAAAACTAAACAGTCCCTCTCTTCAAAGACCTCACAGTCTAGTCAGGAAGACAGATGACAGGCAATTCAATACAAATTGCCAAATATGTGACAAGAGGGGAGGTATTTCAGTGGGATTAGAGGAGTTGAAGGAAGCCACTCAGAGGAGGTAACACATGTGTTGAAATGTGAAGGATGTGCAGGAGCTAGCCAAGAACTTAAAATAGCCAATTTTTGAAAACCATTCTAACTTTTATATATGCAAAAACAGTCTCAAACACTGGGAATATAACAATAACTTCCATATCCTGGATGAAGTCAGAGGCACCGTGACTCCTTCATTATGCTGAGTCGTTTTTACAAAGTGTGATGATACTTGGGCTGGATTTGAAAATACTCAGAATTTTCCACCCCTGATCCTCTGGTCCCTCAGAGACAGATATTTGAAAGGAGCAAGTTTCTATTTTGAGGACATAGCATACGCGTGCTGAAGACTCCATTCTAGATATTAAGCTATAATCCCCCTCCATTAAGAAATCAAATGGCTAAAGTTTCATCACAGCAAACCAGCAGGTAAATCACTGTGTTCATACCAAGTGTGATTTGGCCGATCCACTCATACGAGGTTCATTAACACCCACAATCCTCTCTACAGGTTTCTTCTAACTCCATAGGAACAGATTATAACCAAATTTTTAAATATATGCCATCGTTACTATCTTAGACTGTTCTCACACTGCTATGAAAAAACACCCGAGACTGGGTAATTTGTAAAGGAAGAGGTTTAATTGATTCACAGTTCTGCAGGGCTAGGGAGGCCTCAGGAAACTTACAATCATGGCAGAAGGGGAAGCAAACACGTTCTTCTTCACATTGGGGCAGGAAGGAGAAGTGCCGAGCAAAAAGGGGAAAATCCCCTTACAAAACCATTAGCTCTCATAAGACCTCACTTACTATCATGAGAACAGCATGGGGGTAACTGCCCCCATGATTAAATTATCTCCACCTGGTCTTGCCCTTGACATGTAGGGGTTATCACAACTCAAGGTGAGATTTGGGTGGGGACACAGAGCCAAACCATATTACCCTTAAATAATTCAATTTCTTAGCATAAAATCATTACAAGAATGATAAGCTTATGAAAAGCCGGAAAGGATTATATATGATGTGTCAGGTACAGACAAGTAAGGGAGAGGATGGGGGGAATGTGAAGTTTATACTCAGTTTTCCTTCTTTTGTGAAATTGAGGCCACTGACTTCCCTCCATTGCAGCTTGTACAATTCTCTTTACTCCCATAGCCCCACCAAAGGCCCTCAATGCCCATCCCCTGGAGGATGGCCATGCTGTTCTAACTGGTCACTGATCTCCCTGCCTCCATCCATACTCCTCTGCCCTGCCCATTACCAATCCTCCATGAAGTCGCCAGTGAGAGAGCTCTAACATGCCTCCCCCGATAGGATAATGTCTATATTCCCCAGCATGGCAAATAAGACCTTCCTTAGCCCATCCATAGCCTGCATCCATCTCCCCTCCAAGATGTGACCTCACACAAGAAGCTCTGTGGTGCTCTCCCACCTGCTGGGCCCCACGGTGCTCTGTCTTGTCATCTTGGCTTCTGGTCATGCTATTCCAGCTACTGGAGCAGCCTGGTGCATTCTGTGCAATGGGGGCAGGGCAAGGTCTCTCTATTCATCCTTTAGAGCAAAAGTCAGTTCCAAAGCTTTCCTTGAAGTCTCCAAGAGGTCTCCATTCTCTGTACTCATGTAACTTCCAGGGCTACAGTCTCCCTCTGTCTGCACTCAGTACATTCTATGGACAGTCTCTGTCTAGCTGCTTTTGTCTCACATTTGACTGGAAAACTTGGACACCAGGGTCTGGGCTTTGGTCAGCTGTGAAGCTGCCCACTGCAATGAGCTCCATGTAATGCACAATTGTAGAACCAAACTACCCATTGCCCTGGCATTGAGAAGGGAGCTGTGCTTGAGGGGAGTTCTGGGGAGGACTCAGTGTGGCTCAGGGTGGCCTGGTGTGTTGGGAAAGTCTCCACAGTGCCAGAAACTTGGTGGCTTTCAGGCTTGTCTTTAATGCTTGGCTCATGAGGTTTGTCTCTACCTCCCACTTTTATTTGTCAGGGTGTCACTTGGCAAAACCCAAAATGTCTTACAAAAGTAGACTGTCCGGGTGTAACGAATACTGCAGTTTGTCTTCAACAAAAAAAAAAGGATTTCCTCTGGAAAACAAGCACACTTTACAAAAATTGACAAGTAATTCAATTAGGGTGTCAAGGTTCCTTTCCACTACGTCATTTTGTCAGTTACAGGTATTTGGATACAATGAGTACATTCGTTGCCCTTCCATTTGTGGGGAAAGCTTAGTTGGAGAGCCTTCTGACTTCCTTGAGGTGAAAAGCGAGTTTGGGACTGAAGGCTGGGCTAGTCCACATGTTGTCAGCATGGAGCGGATCAGAGAAGTTATGTTCCATGGACACAGGAAGCCGCCCGCAAGGGTATCCAATTTTCTCCTCACAACTGTGTATGTAAGAATTGGTGTCTGTTTTGTAGATGAAGAGAAAGACACCCACAGAGGTTAAGTCACTTGCCCACAGAGGGTCCGCTATTTTTAGTAAAAACTGGCAATCCAACCCAGGACCAATCACTGACCACTGGGTGTAAACACTTTCCACGATGTGGTGCAGGCAGTCCTTTGCCCAATCCCTCTCTCTCTCTCAGAGTGCCTACAAATTCTGCCCAGCAGCCCAGTGTCTTCTGTCCTTTCTCTCTTTGAGGAAGAATATCTTTCTTTTCCTAACCATCTCTACCTCCAGTTTGGAAAAGAGTTTTTAAAATTTTATCTCTCCTCAATAATAATAACAATCAAAATTTCTTTCCTTTCTTTAACGAGAAGGGTTTTTGTGTGTGTGTGTGTGTGTGTGTGTGTGTGTGTGTGAGATGAGGGAGCAAGTAGGGTCAGGTAGAAAAATTACATATTTTCTCCCATATTTAAACAAGGATTATCAGGTCAATTTGTAATAAACTCAGCTGAGGACATTAAAAAATATCACTCCCAAGGGTTAGTGAGTTTTAGGTTCCAAGATTTGAACTTTAGACAGTAAGGGAGAGAGGCGCCAGGCACAGTGGAGGGTATGCCTGTTCTGTTGGTGTGAGGTTGATGGCTGGAGATGAGTCACAGGGCCAGAACTTACCATCTATGGGACTTTAGGCAATGGAGAAAACAGTCCTACCACACTGCAAGGACCACAGTTGATAAGCACAAAGCAAATACAACAAGAAAGTACTTGGTGGCTATTTCTCCAAGGCACAATGTATACATTTTAGACTTAGTTGGACAATATTGAATAACTTAGCCAACATATATTGAGAAATGCCCCATGTGTGAAGGCTTCTGTTAGAGCAGCGGGGGAGAGGATACAGAATTCAGTAAGACGCTGGTTTTGTATTCTTGGGCGTCAATACCTGAATGGGAAAAGTAGGCACATGTACAAACAGGTGTCATCCAATCGCCTGTATTACAAGCTACCAGTGAAGTGCTAAGCACTAAGATATTATTACTGCTTTATCAAAGAAATAATATTTTCCTTTAAATGTGTACTTTCTTAAAAATCCTCTATTATTCAAACTGACTTTTCAAGACTCACATTTCACACACAAGCACAAATCAACAGTTTGACAAAAGAAGTCAAGAGGGGGGAACAAAACAGAAGACAGAAAGCACCTATATCTGAACATCTGCATAGTATTTTACTTTTAGAAGCATTTATTGGTCGCCTGCTAGGAGTCAGACCAGTGCTTGCTTTGAAGAAAACAAGCCAAAGAAGCCAGCCCTGCTCTCAGTTTGATAGGATTTGCTGGAGACCACAGTATACACAGAGCTTTGGATATGCACTGTAATCTTTTCTAAATATGTAAGAGCTGAAAACAGGAAATGCAAAGATGACTGTTCCCATAAAGTAGTTTGTAAAAATTGTATATTAGGTTTATATGAAGGGGGAGGCATTGAAGCCATGCTGCCTGGGCTCAAATCCTAAGTGGCCACTTACTAGTTATGTGACATTAAGACTGCTACTTAATCTTTCTCTGCCTTAGTTTTATCATCGAAAATTGGACAATGAGAATCTCTGTATCAAAGGCTCTTGAGGGGATTAAATGAGATAACCCATGTAAAGGGCTCAATATGATTCATAGAGGAAGTAAGAATTTGCTTATTATTTTTCTTCTGACAATATTTAGAACATACAAACAACACACAAGATGTAGCTAAGAAGCTCTGATCATAAACTTATATCCAGTAATTTTGTGGCCCCTCCGAAGGAAGAAGATGGACGTCCACCCAAAATTCGGTTCCAATGTTGAGAATGATGATGCCTCCCTGCACCCTCATACCAAGAGGGCATGAAAATGTTTACGATTCACATAATGAGGCCTTCTGGGGGAGCAGGAGAGGCATCAAAAGCAGCTACAGAAGTGGCTTGAGAGCAAGACAAGGAACCTAGGCTGGAGTTTTAAAATACTGATTAGAGGGTGGGATGAGGATGAGAATTCCCTGTGTGGCTTTTCACTGGCACAAGGGAAAAAGCACCAGGGCTTTCTTATCAGCTTACCCAGATGTGGATAGAAGACTTAAAAGTTATGAATGATCAAACATCAAGAAATGGTGTCAAATTCTTCATTACCGGTATCTACAAACCTCCTAAAACAATCCAACTGCAGTTCACTAGTACATGCTTCACATGTTTTAATTTTTAGAAATCTACCTCTATATTTAGATTATATCCCATAAAGTAAATGTGTATATTAATATTTAATTTTTTGGTTCACTTTTTAAGCAAATGAATGTTACTTGATACCGACAAAGAGTAGAATATGATGTTCTTCCAATGTATTTTCACTATAATTTTTAGAAAGAAAAAAGTCAGACCAGAGACATCGCTGAGTTGAAAAGTTTCATCCATGAGCTTGCAGAGGGTCTGACTACACTGACTCTGAGAGAAGTTACAATTCCCACCTGCCACAGTCCATGGTATCACCTCATACTCCTGAAAGTAACATAACGTTTAAATAATTATACCACATTTGCTTCAAGCAAGAGAATTTTTCTTTGTCCAGGTGTTGTTGTTGGGGTTGTTGCTGATGCCTTTGGTGTGGTCACTGTTGAATATTCTCTGAGCACATGCTAAGCGCCAAGCACTCTGTTAAGGACTCTGCACGCATTATGTCATTTCATAACAATCCTATGAGGTAGATACTGTTATTATCCCAATTTACAAATAGAGGAAACAAAACAGATGGCGCCCAGCTGGCCAGTCCATGATATCTTCTATATATAAGTAACAATGCTTTGTTTTATCATCTTTCTGCCACACATGGATTCATGCACGCTAAGTTCTATTTGGTGTAATTAAAACCCCAGGATAAAATTTTAACTCTACCTTTGAAATAATATAGTTAGAAGGGAAGAATCTATTGAGGAAAGCCCACAGTAAAAGATAAGCTTCAGCATTTCCTAGTTTATCATCATAACCATGTTTTTGAAACCACTGAAATCTATGGTGTAAAAGATATTATGGTGAAAAAGAAACAATGACTCATTCTATCTGTATTGTCTCTTTTGAAATAGAAATCTTTGTTTTATTTCTAAACATATTTTCTCATAGAATGGAAATCATTTTCTATGCCATCCTTATAAAAGTAATTTAAGTAACAGACATAATATAGAAATTTTCTCATTTTATATTCCCAAATGGCCCTGTGTCATTCTATAGTTTTGAGTACTCATGGGATCATATACAAATCTGTAAAACAATGAATTCATTCTCCTCTTGTTAGCAAAATTTGCATTTTCAAAGGAACAATACGATTTAGTCCATCAATCTGAACCAAGTAAGATAACTCAGTTTCACTATGAACCAGACATTTTTCTAGACTCCTAAAATAATAATAAATAATAATCAACTAAGAAAATAATGTATAGTTGGCAATGGGAGTTTTAAACTATCTAACAAGTTTTGCTATCATAATGTTAATATCAGGAGGTATGCTAATTGTATAAAACTATAGGCCAGGCGTGGTGGCTCATGTCTGTAATTCCAGCACTTTGGGAGGCTGAGACAGGTGGATCAGGAGGTCAGGCGTTCAAGACCAGCCTGTCCAACACGGCAAAACCCTGTCTCTACTAAAAGATACAAAAATTAGCTGGGCATAGTGGCACATGCCTGTAGTCCCAGCTCCTCAGGAGGCTGAGGCAGGAGAATCACTTGAACCCGGGAAGTGGAGGTTGCAGTGAGCTAAGATCGCACCACATCGCTCCAGCCTGGGCGACAGAGTGAGACTCCGTCTCAAAAAAGAAAAAAAAAAAAAAGATAAATAGTTTGTCCAAATCTAGTGGTAGATTTTCATTTTCAGTGATGGTTTTAGCTGTGGCTTTCCTTTAAATTGCTGTATTAAAAACATGTATTGTTACGTATTTGGCAGTTGTGCTTCGCTGTTTTCAAAGCCAAGGTACTCATCAAATTTGATGTAGGCTTTATGTGCCCCCATGAACACCTAGAAAGGAGTTTAATCAGTGGGAAAGATCATAACAGGGTGCAAAAAGATCTTCTGAGAAAATAAGAACTTCTAGAAGGTGTTAGAGTGCTTGTGAAATTGGAAGCCAAGCTTAAAAACAATCTTTGCATCATCCCAGTGTTATAAGATGAACAAACCTACTCAGCAAGGTGATTACAAACTGCAGGGCCTAAAATGAGGTTATCCTCACAAACTGGGTAATTGCTGCCATTTATTTATTTATTTTTTTGAGACGGAGTCTCGCTCTGTCACCCAGGCTGGAGTGCAGTGGTGGGATCTCAGCTCACTGCAAGCTCCGTCTCTCAGGTTCACACCATTCTCCTGCCTCAGCCTCCTGAGTAGCTGGGACTACCGGCGCCCGCCACCACGCCTGGCTAATTTTTTGTATTTTTAGTAGAGATGGGGTTTCACCATGTTAGCCAGGATGGTCTCGATCTCCTGACCTCGTGATCCGCCTGACTCGGCCTCCCAAAGTGCTGGGATTACAGGTGTGAGCCACCGCGCCCAGCCAATTGCTGCCATTTTTAAGCTAGGGTTTGACCAACTAGCAACAGGTAATCTCTTGAGAGTTGAGAGGCAATTTATTGTGAAAACTAAGCTTCATCAAAAAATGAGAGGAAAATTATGGTGTAGTTGCATGAATTGCCACGCTCTACGCTTCTAGAGGAGTTGGGAGAAAACATCTCTTCTCACACAATCAATATTCTCCTGTCTTCAACAGAACTAACCCTATCCCCCACGTATTTTGGGGGATTTACAAGTTAGGCTAGAGGAGTCCTAGTCTAACTTGTAAATATTCAGTAGGAAGTACAGACATCACAGAGGACAACAGAACTATAATTACTTTTTAAAGAAATCAGTAAACATTATTACAGATCCAAACAAACCTTTATTGAATTTAACTAAAATTAAGTTAATACAACTTGCTCCAAGTTGGTGAATACATTTTTCTCATTTAGGGCAATTATGAAGAAAGCCGGGGCATTTAGGTTCTCAAAGATTTTGGCTACTGGGAATAAACCTGAAACAAAATAAGTTTCTATTAAAATGAACTTTACTTTCTTATTTTAGAGGCCGCACAATGGTCCAGGGAAATCAGTATGTATAAATACACATAAACAATGTCATTGCCACACAGTTGTAAGAAATGGTATGTTTTCCCATCCTGGGGCCATACTTACCTCCCTGCATCATCCAAGTTAAATGTATTCTTGTAAAACTCCCTCAAAATAGAAATCATTAAAGCATAAGTCAAACGGCTTACAAACTGACAAACTGTCAGATTTACATTTAGGTTTTACAGGACTTGTAAAATGGCAAGTCAGATGGTAAACCTGTTTATGAAGACAGCACAAGAAGCTTCAACAAATGCCACAATCTGTTCCGTTAATGATGTTTAAGATATTTGATTTCTGTCAACAGATACCCACTCCTCTAGGTTTTCTGGGAAAGAGACCTGTCCCCAAAAATCCAGAGCAAAATATACTTCAAGAAATTAACATTACTTAAAAAAAAAGATAATAATAAAAGAAGGATGCAGCCGCAACAATAAGATAGATTTAAAATGGAGACAAACAGAAATGAGGAAAAGGGAAGAAGAGAGGGAAGAAGGGAGAACAAGTCAACTAAAGCAACATCAAAATACATAGGGGATTTTAGTAATGCTTTTAAATGTAGTATTCTTAATTAGTAAAACTAATACACAATTGTGCAAGGAAATAATGACTTTAGGAGATGGTAATACTTTTATTGATTAAATACTATCTCATGATTCTTCATAATTCTTCAGTCAGGTGTGCCTAAATAAATCCTAAGTGTTAAAAGACACTTATCTATATTTAAATAGTTTAGGTAGAAATGAGTTAATTAGCCTGGTCTAAAATATGTCTCAAATATCAAATAGATTTCAGAAATATAATTTTGATCATAAACTACATAAATAAATTATGACAGATACCTTATTTCCTTTAAATGATCAACGGCCTATAAATTGATGGCAAAATATATTTCAGATTTCAAGGTGATTTGAGCTTGCTGTTGAGAAAGTTTTAAAAATGCGGGGACAAAACTAGTTCGACCAATATTACATATTTTTTCTCTCCAGGTAGCTAAAAGTGTAGAATTTGTAGTTATGTAATATACAGGGCTCCCTGACTTACAATGGGGTTGCATTTCTATCAACCCACCATATGGTGAAAAATATTGTTAAATCAAAAATGCATTTAATACACTTAACCTACCAAACATCATCACCTAGCCTACCATAAATGTGCTCAGAACACTTGCATTAGTTTACAGTTGGGCAAAAGAATCTAACACAAAGCCTATTTTAAAAATAAAGTATTGAATATTTCATGTACGAGGAACGTAACGCATAATGCTACCCCAGGAAAAGGTCAAAATTCAAAATTCAAAGTATGCATTTCTACTGAATGCTTATCATTCTTGCACCATGGTGAAGTAAAAAATCGTAAGTCAAACCATTGTAAGTTGAGGACCATCTGTATATGCATTGAGAGATTTTATCTACATTAGTATTCTAATAAAATATACTGGTATACATAATTTGCAGTCACTTTCATATTTTTCACAAAAGCCTGGCCCATCTGTCATGCCCACCACATATCAGTGAACACTGACTACTTTTATAGAAAAAAACAAGACAAACACAACAAAACCTCCACAACTTTATATGTTTGGATTTTAAAGTAAACTCCATAAATCCAGTGAAAGTCTAAAAAGCGACTTGAATCATGTTTGCAATCAAGATGGCCACATGACTATGCAAATGTACAAATGAGGGGGACTAAATGCTGCTCTACACAGAGCAAGGTCACAAACACAACAATCACAGGGAAGTCGGTCACCATTTGCCACACTTTCTCTGATGTTTTCCTCCATTCGTTGTCAATTAAGCTGGGTCCCCAACTCTCACTAAAGATTAATTTAACTGCTATGCTCTTCCTTTTTTCCTGAGAAGTACTGTAAGAATACTGGTCTCACACTTGTCCCTGCCCTCCCTGGTATCTTGCTGTGTTCCAATACCACTGGTACTTTCCTCTTTGTTTTTAAATCAGAATCTCTTCTTCAGGGTGGTGGCTGGACCTTCACATCACCTTACTACTGCTTCTACTCACCACTTTGTCTCTTACTTTCCTTTCCCTGATTCACTTCCAGAAGCAGCAGGATACATTGGTTGTCTATGCCATACCATTGATCAAAAGGTGTTCCATAGACTACCTAATATTCAGAATCAGAAGGAATACTTAGTTAAAAGCGTTAATTCATTAGTCCATACCAGACCTTCTGGATTGAAGTTTCCTTGCGTAGGGCCCAGTAATCTATATTTTTAACAAGTTTTCAAGATGATTCTTAAGTAAATTTTGAGAACCACTGATCTCTTTCCTCAACACCCAATCTCTTCCTAATCTTACAGCTGTGCTGTCTATTCCAGAATCCTCTGAATCTTCTCCCCAATCCTCAATCACTTCCCCACTGTCAAATCCCAAGACAATTTTGCATTTATGGACCATCCTGCTGCCCTTTGTGAAACTCTTTCTTGGGTTTTTGTTTTTTTTTTACTTTTTTTATGATTATACTTTAAGTTCTGGGATAACTGTGCAGAACGAGCAGTTTTGTTACACAGGTATACATGTGCCATGGTGGTTTGCTGCACCCATCAACTCGTCATCTACATTAGGTATTTCTCCTAATGTTATCCCTCCCATTGCCTCCCACCCCCCAACAGGCCCCAGTGTGTGATATTTCCCTCCCTGTGCCCATATGTTCTCATTGGTCAACTCCCACTTATGAGTGAGAACATACAGTGTTTGGTTTCCTGTTCCTACGTTAGTTTGCTGAGAATAATGGTTTCCAGCTTCATCCATGTCCCTGCAAAGGACATGAACTCACTCTCTTTTATGGCTGCATAGTATATTCCATGGTATATATGTGCCACATTTTCTTTATCCAGCCTAACATTGATGGGCATTTGGGTTGGTTCCAAGTCTTTGTTATTGTGAATAGTACTGCAATAAACATACGTGTGCATGTGTCTTTATAAAAGAATGATTTATAAACCTTTGGGTATATACCCAGTAATGGGATTGCTGGGTCAAATGGTATTTCTAGTTCTAGATTCTTGAGGAATCACCACACTGTCTTCCACAATGGTTGAACTCATTCACACTCTCACCAACAGTGTAAAAGCATTGCTATTTCTCCACATCCTCTCCAGCATCTGCTGTTTCCTGACTTTAATGACCGCTATTCTAACTGGCATGAGATGGTATCTCATTGTGGTTTTGATGTGCATGTCTCTAATGACCAGTGATGATGAGTTCTTTTTCATGTTTGTTGGCTGCATGTCTTCTTTTGAAAAGTGTCTGTTCATATCCTTCGCCAACTTTTTGATGGGGTTGTTTGTTTTTTTCATGTAAATTTAAGTTCCTTGTAGGTTCTAGATATTAGCCCTTTGTCAGATGGATAGATTGCAAAAATTTTCTCCAACTCTGTAGGCTGCCTGTTCACTCTGATGATAGTTTCTTTTGCTGCACAGAAGCTCTTTAGTTTAATTAGATCCCATTAGTCAATTTTGGCTTCTGTTGCAATTGCTTTTGATGTTTTAGTCATGAAGTCTTTGCCCAGGCCTATGTCCTAAATAGTACTGCCTAGGTTTTCTTCAAGGGTTTTTATGGTTTTAGGTCTTACATTTAAATCTTTAATCCATCTTGAGCTAATTTTTGTATAAGGTGTAAGGAAGGGGTCCAGTTTCAGTTTTTTGCATATGGCTAGCCAGTTTCCCCAACACCATGTATTAAATAGGTAATCCTCTCCCAATTGCTTGTTTCTGTAAGGTTTGTCAAAGATCAGATGGTTGTGGATGTGCGGTGTTATTTCTGAGACCTCTGTTCTGTTCCATTGGTCTATATACCCGTTTTGGTACCAGTACCATGCCATTTTGGTTACTGCAGCCTTGTAGTATAGTTTGAAGTCAGGTAGCATGATGCCTCCAGCTTTGTTCTTTTTGCTTAGGATTGTCTTGGCTATAAAGGCTCTTTTTTGGTTCCATGTGAAATTTAAAATAGTTTTTTCTAATTCCGTGAAGAAAGTCAATGGTAGCTTGATGGGAATAGCATTGAATCTATAAATTACTTTGGGCAGTATGACAATTTCCACGATATTGATTCTTCCTATCCACAAGCATGAAGGAGCATGTGCATGGAATGTTATTCCATTTGTTTGTGTCCTCTCTTATGTCCTTGAGCAGTGGTTTGTAGTTCTCCTTGAAGGGGACCTTCACATCCCTTGTAAGTTGTATTCCTACGTATTTTGTTATCTTTGTAGCAATTCTGAATGGGAGTTTGCTCATGATTTGGCTCTCTGTCTTTTATTGGTGTATAGGAATGTTTGTGATTTTTGCACATTGATGTGGTATACTGAGGCTTTGCTGAAATTGCCTAACAGCTTAAGGGGCTTTTTGGCTGACACAATAGGGTTTTCTAAATATACAATCATGTCATCTGCAAACAGAGATAATGTGACTTCTTCTCTTCCTATTTGAATACCCTTGTGTCTTTCTCTTACCTGATTGCCCTGGTCAGAACTTCCAGCACTATGTTGCATAGGAGTAGTGAGACAGAGCATCCTCACCTTGTGCGGGTTTTTAAAGGGAATGCTTCCAGCTTTGCCCCTTCAGTATGATATTAGCTGTGGGTTTGTCATAAACAGTTCTTATTATTTTGAGATATGTTCCATCAATACCTACTTTATTGAGTGTTTTTAGCATGAAGTGGGGTTGAATTTTATCGAAGGCCTGTCTGTATCTATTGAGATAATCATGTGGTTTTTGTCATTGGTTCTGTTTATGTGATGGATTATGTTTATTGATTTGCTTTCTTGTTTTTGTTTCACAGATGACATCATCTTCATCTTACTTCCCACCTCTCAGAACATCCTCTCCTGCTCCGCCATATTTCCTACTTGTCTTCCCACTGTGAGTGTTCTCTGTGGCTGAATCCTGCTTTTTCTTCCAGGTTATAATAAATTTTTACTCTTGTTCCTCAGCTGCTTTGCAATGGAAAAAAAAATACTTTTCAGAGAGTGAGGAAAATGGAAAAGAATGCTGAAGTAAGTGTAGGTTAGATAAAAATGTTTTATAACATTGCTTAGGCAAAACAAGTGATGCTATGTTTCCAAAGTAGAACTGTATGTAATATCAAGTGCCTGTGGAAACAATTTAAAACAAAAAGGGAGGAAATAAATTGAAAAAAGCAAAAAGTAGATTATTTAAAAGATATACTTTTCTTTTTGTCAAGTTATTATAAATCAGAAACCAAAGCAAATTTACTCATCAAAGACCAGGATGAGTATCGGTCTAAGTCGGGGCTGAGAAGACTGGCCAGGAAATTGTATTTTAACTCTAAAAAAGCCTCTTTGGGACCTCCTTTATTTGCCATGACTGCTATATGGTTTGTTTTATTCAAAATATTTATTCATTGTGTCTACTTATCCTAATTCAACAGGACTTCAAAGATTTGAAGACACTTTTATTTTTTAATTTAAAAATAACATATCTATTGAATCATTTTGCAGTTTGTCAAGAATATATGCTCTGAGGAATCAAAGATGGGAAACCTCTAGAAAGATTTGAGTCTCTTTCCTTAAGCTGCTATACTATCTGTCTTTCTATCCTCTCTAGTTCCATTTTGGTTTCTACAATTTGTTTCCCCAGTTCTCCACTGAGGCATGAGCCACTATTAAGTGTCTATGGCACTCAAGACGTGCCAGGGAAGTGAAGTACTACAAGTTCTTTTCTGTCCTGTAATTTCAAGAAGTGGGTTTTTAGCATCTCCAGTTGTTCCATTTGAGGAGATAAATAGTGGCATGGAAAGATGTAAGATGAGACCAATCTTTCTCTGTATTCTGTCAAGCATCAGTTAAATCCAAAGTTAAAAGAGCAGAGCCTGGGACCAAGGGGCTGAATCTATCCAGTAATTATTGTGCCCCCATTATACTATGGGAAAAAGAAGATGTTTAAGCAGAAACACTCTCAGGTATTCTGGAGGAGGGCAGTGAGGTTGAAGCCATGGCAGGGGAGGAAGGAGATGGGCATGGAGCACTGGCATGGAAGCTGTGAAGTGGGTCCAGGAGGGAGCTTGCCTGGGACTCTGCCGGTCAGAGGCAGCAAGGCAGCTGCAGTCCAGCAACAGGGGAGGGGACAGGTGAGGCGGGGCCTCTCCTGCCTCCCTGTTCTCCAGTCCACCCTCCCAAGGCATGACCTGTGAGCACCTCAGCGGCTGCCTGGCCAGGAGGAGACATGGGTAAAACTTGTCTTCCATGGTTCATGTGAAAGAATCAACAAACAAAAATAAAATACAAATCTCATCAGGTTCCTTCCTTAAAACTCATGGCTGCTCACTGTCTTCTGGACAAAGTTCAAGGCACTTGAGGCTTTCTGTAATCTGGCTTCTACCTACCTTTGTAGCCTCATTTTCACCCCAATACTGAGGCCCTAACAAATCAGGTACCTTTCCCTGAGTCAACACATCCTTACATACCTCTGTGGTTGTGCACATCCTGCATTCTCTCCCGGGCATGGCTCTCCAACACCCATCCTAGCTTCCTGACTTACTTTGTGAATGACCCCTCACACTAAGACACAGACCACAAGTCACCTCCTCACCTCCTAGCCTTTTCCTAACCCTCCAGGTGAAATTAGGTGCTCTAAATTCTGTGTTCAACCCTCATATATGCACCAATTAGAGTTCAGATCACAGAACAATTTAATGCATGTCTTTCTCTAGGAACCTAGGATGTTCTCAAGGGCAGAAGTCACATCCTATTCATCTTGCATCTTTCAGCCATTAGCACGGTGCAGGATGCAGTAGTGACTCAATAAATATTTATTAAATAAACTGTTGTGAATGTTGCCCAAATCAAAATGCAGTCACATATGTTTAAAACAAACAAGAAAACCTCTAACAAATAGAGCTAGGGAAGGCCATGAGAAGGTTCTCATGCACGAATGCCTGATAACAAGAACTATCATAAAAGACTGTAGAAAACACAACCTCACATAAAAGCCATCTCAACCTTAAACAAAATACTTCAGTGAGGACATCTTCCCAGTACCTTCCTGTCCAGCCTCAAACTGGAACCACCCTTGTTATTGCTGGATGCTAGTGGCAAAGGATAATTATCTCAAACAATAATGTAATCTTCCTCATTTTTTCTCTAAAAACCTCTGCTTTCCTTCACCTCCCCGAATACATACATAGCTTACTATGTTACACATATTCCCATTGCAATGCCTACTCCTGAATAAATATCATTTTCTTTTAGAGAGCCTCTCCCTGTTTATTATTTAGGTTTACATTGTTGATACATACATTCAAATACATTTAACCATTGTTTTCTGAAAACTTACCACTCAGCAGACCTCTACAGGATCCTGAAGCTACCAAGGTAGTTAAAACATGATTACTATGCTTAAGAAGCTTGGACTCTTGCAGGGAAGACCAAATATCTAAAGACATAATGATAATGCAACATAAAATGTACAGTGCTTAGGTATATAGTAGGTTCAAAAATGTGACTCAAGAGAAAAATATTGAGATGTAACCTGTCTATAGCAGAAACTTTAATGAAAGGAGAAATAAATTTGGCCAGGATGCTTCAAGCTGATTTAGCAGCCAGCAGAGAGCCACTGAAGGGCTTGGGAGAGGAATGGCATGCTGATGCAGATGGCATTTTAGAAGAACCATTTGGCAGCAGCATGATGAAACCACTGGAGCAAAGAGAAGGTGCAATATGAGACGCTCTAAGCTTCCTTGTTCTGAGTTACAAAACATGACTTCCTGCTTTATAAAGCTGCTTTAGTTCCTTCCATTAAAGGTGACTATATCATCAAGGGAAGCCAAGGAGTGCATGCCACAAAGAGTTAAATGCTGGACAAACAAAAGTTAATAGTGTTTGCAGAATATGATGCATGTTGGCATTTACTGGGAAGTGCAGCTAAAAGCAGAAGAATTTGCCAAATAGCTCAGGAAAGTACCACAGAATTCTCAAAGTCAGGGGAGTTCAAGAAGAGCAAACTGCATCATGAAGAATTCTCAGTCTAGTACTTCCAGCTGGCTTTTCAGAGAAACTGTTTAGTCTCAGCAACACTTAAGTCAAGAGAGTGAAACACAAATTATAACCTTAACCTAACAGAAAATGTGCATAAAACCTCAGTATTCTTTAATATGTCTCAAAATTGTATTTTCAAGCCCAGAGCTGCCACAGAGTCAAGATCAGGTGTTCTTGAGATGTCACCATGATACTCAGAGTAACTGCTCAAGTTTATCAATGATTCAGAGCCTCCTTCAGACTCTGGAAGAGGACGAGGCTCCAACATGGACTATGATGCCAAAAAGAAGGTATAATGTTGCATGGAGAAATGCACACCACCACCAGTCAGTTAAAAACAAACAAACATGGCTGTACCATAATTTGGTATTTCTTCTCTCCCACCTTCTGTGATAGGCAGAATTCTAATTCTAAGGTGGACTCACTGACCTTTACCCCATGGTGTTACTCCAGTGATTATGTTATATCACACAGTGAAAGAGAGTTGCCAGTGTCATTAAGGTTACTAATCAGTTGACCTTAAGAAAAGGAGATGACGCAAGTGGGTTTAATCATATGAATTTTGTTTTTAAAAACCGAAAATTTTCTCTTGCTGTAACAAAGGGGGAAGCCAGAGAGACTGGAAGTGTGAAAAGGACTCCAACACTATTGCTGGTTTGAGGATGGATGGAGTCATGTGAAAAGGGATGCAGCTGGCCTTTAGAGCAGAGAGTGGCTCCTGGCTAACAGCCAGTGATGAAACAAGGATCTCAGTCCTACAACCACAAGAAACAACTCTGCCAAAGATCTGAATGATTTTGAAGTACATTCTTCTTCACATCTTCCATAAGAGAATACAGCTCAGCCAACATCTAGATTTCAGATTTTTAAGGCCCTAAGCAGAAGACCCAGTAAAGCCCACCAGAACTTCTGACCTATAGGACTGTGAGATAACCAATGAGTGTCATTTTAAGCTGAAAAAGTTTGCATTAATTTGTTATAGTGGCAATAGGAAAGGGATGCACCTCCAAAAACTTATTAAATTGATGCCCATAAATTGACGGACATAAAGGTCTCAAAACTAAATAAATGCTTCCATCCTAATGTGATTTCATAAAGCAGGGGAATTGTACATTAAGGAAAACTATAAAGAAAAAAAAAGCACATTGAAGAATGATGAATTTGCGAAAGGCACCCAAGAGATTGTAGGAACAATCTTTTCCCTGCTGTTCAGAGAACCCATTTCTTTCCATGGCCCAACTGAACACCTTATTTTCCAGTAACATAAATATTATAACTCCATCTATTCAGTTGATCATTCATTCATTCAATCCAGTATGTGCTGGAGTGGCTAATGTATACCAAGTAATGGACTGCCCAGCACACCTAGGCCAAGAGTGCAAGGGCATAAAAAACTACTTGGCCGTGCTACAATTCATCACTGCCCATGTCAGGCAAAACATTAAAAGAATTTTTTTTAAGATCTAATGTTACTAGCAAATAGGATGCTAAATTAGACAGGGAAAAGGAGCCTCTGCCCAAATTTTGAATCAATATTAGCCATAAACACTAGTATGACACTAAAGAACTTGAGGCAAGAGAAAAACATCTGTTATTTGAGAAATAACTGAAAAGGATGACACCAGCAAACAAACACTTGATTCAGAACCACCTCTTCAGTTAAGCAGTGAAAATATATGGGTGTATTCTCATTCTGTAGTGAGTGTCAGAAATAATTCCATTATGAAAAGATCTCTTGGTTTGATGAGAGTGAAATTGACCCAGGGAAGCTCTTGGGACTCAAGGGTTACCTGTTCAGAGCTAACATGTTTATTCCAAGTACAACCTTGGCAAGCTGTCAAAGGCAATTCAGATTATAACACCCTTGGTCACGTGCAATAGCTCAAAACAGCCAACGCCACAAGAGAGCTGCCACAGGGGCAACCTCATGACAGAAAGATGTAAAGGTTGACTGAAATATTGAAGAGGTAGCTAAGGAGTTCAATGGCTCCCAGATTTTTACATTCTTTGCGTTACTTTAACCAGGCAGTGAAGTTCAGTAACCTACCACATGCTGTCTATATAATAGGAAACATTTACTTCAGTGAATGATTATAAACAGAAGACACTTGAGACAGCTCACTGCCAATCGGACCCTTTAAATAGTTACATTCTGCTGGCTGACACAGTGTTTATTACTGTGGTTGCTTCAAGCAAGCTCTAAACTAGAACTATACACGAGGAGGTACTCTGGCTTTCCTGGTCATGCCACTGGCTATTTCAGGGATAGAGAGGTGACAAGGTCAGACACAAAGCCAAAGGATACAAGTCTTCTTGCTATTGGCCACCTCCTGTATTATTTATTATCATTATTTTTATTCATTGCCTACATGGCCACCACTTCATACAAAGTGGAAATTTTCTCTTGGCATATGCATGGGGATACTTTAATTGTTCCTTATGCCAATAAGTGGCAGGAAAAGTCTTTTCTTTCTAACTGGTAATGGTGTTGACAGCTCTGTTTCGCCTCCAGGTTAACCTAAAACGATTGAGCTGGCAATAGTGATTTGACTTAGCTGGTGGGTTTACAGGCATATGAATTGCGACTGTCTCATCCCATCCTGCCAAGATAAATGGTTTCTTTTCTATGCTTCAAATATAATTATGTTCCTGATTAATAACAAATGTGATGACACAGACTCTGAAGCAATGCGAAAGCAGCCAACTTTCAACCACTACAGTATTTGTTGTATGACCATTAAAAAAGGGTTCACCAGACTCACAGCCAAGATGGCAAGACTTTTCAAGAACAAAGGGCGAGTGGAGTCTGTGAAGCAAGCTCTAACTTAACATCACATGTGAGAAACAATGCACAGCATTCACTCTCTAGTCACTTGAGAAAAGCACACATTTCTCTTTACTGCTTTAAAGCTTCATAATTCACAGCGAGCAAGCAGTTAGGATACGGCCTAAGAAAAATACTGCTTTATTTTCCTTAGTAGTTCAAAGGAGATAGTTCATTTCAGTAGAAAATCGAGTCACCTCTTTTTAAAACTATGTTTTCTTCTTCCTTCCTTTCTCCTTATCGTTTCTGGATTCTGAACACCTCCCTCTTTAAAGAGCTGAAGACAAGGCTTTCTAACTAGGAAAATGATACAAGATAATGCACCATATTTTTTCTTTAAATAAACTATGACAATTGCAACTATTTTATTACAATTATTTTAATTATAGAGATAGCTTAACAATGATAAACCCATTGCATACACATCTCTCTCATCCTCATACTACATATACTTGTAAAAAAAAAAAAAAAAAGAGCAAGTACAGGTATTGTCTTCATGCAAATGAGGGAAACTTAATCACACAATTTGATGTGACTCCCTTGGTCTTTCAAGAAGTCCATGAAAGATCTCATCAATTGATTCTAGAGTCTTCTGACCTCCGTAAGAACATGACTCTTTCAAGTCAGGAAAGTCATTTCATTTACCTTTGCATTTTACCATCAATCCCATGCCTTGTATTCAAAAGGTGTTCAATAAAGCTGTGTTGGATTGAATTGAATTTTGAGAGAGCTGGCTGGCTAATTAATTGTGAAATTCAGGTTCTGAATCATTTTAGAAGCTTTAGGATCATTTGATGACTATTGTAGAAACATCAGTCAAAATGGTAGTTAGAAGATACCCATGAAGAAACATTGCTTAAATATATATGACATATACTTGTGATACCTGACAACACAAGTAACCTGTTACATAAATAGAAAAGTAGATTCCATCAATCAAGTATGCCCTTTGTCCTTCAACTAGTCAATTAAGTATATGGTTCATCAGACCACAAAATTCAACTCAATTTCAGCTGATCTGCATCATACCAAATAATATTAATCCACATGATACTATAAATGAGACAAACTTGAAACTGCTGGGAGCATGAGGAAGCATTCAAGAGACAGCTGATTAAAGCTTCTGAAAAATCAGTTGAGGGGAAATCTGTCTATTATTATAAAAAATTAAGATTATATTCAGATTAACAACATTTAAAATAAGGCGACTGGATTTCCTTAAAAGTCAATATTTTATTGACCCTGTAATACATACCCTATTTTGCGCTGCCTAATTATATTTAAATTCAGGACCTATTCCAAACTTGTAATGAACATGGAAAGAGCAATATATCTTTATTTTTAAAATATAATTAGTTTTGGGTGATTTCTTATTTGCATTTTCCATTAGCTTAAATTTCTATTACAGAAGCTCCTCAACTTATGATGCGGTTACATTCCAATAAACCCATTGAAAGGTGAAAATATCATTACATCAAAAATGTATTAAATACATCTAACCTACTGGACAGCGTAACTTAGCCTAGTCTAATGTAAACACGCTCAGAACACTTACATTAGCCTACAATTGAGCAAAATCATTTGACACAAGGCCTGCTTTATAATAAACTGCTGCATATCTCATGTAATTTATTGAATACTATACAGAAAGTGAAAAACAAAATGCTTGTATGGGTACCCAAGGGACAGTTTCTACTGAAGCCATATTGCTTTTGCATCACCATAAAGTCAAAAAATCATAAGTCAAACCATCTTAAGTCAGGACCTTCTGCATTTCTAAAGGTTTTATAAAAGTAAAAGAAGGAGAGAGTAAACTTAAATCATATAATTGCTGATGCATCCAAACATTAGGCGGCTCTTTCATTTTACTTACGTGAAAAACTTAACTGAAGGCTTGATGGCAGTGAGACAGAGGGTGGAGTAACAACTAGAAAAAGATCACATAAGCTAAATATGTCAATTAAAGTCTCCTGGCATGAGTGGTAAGACAGAGACAGCGATTTATACATAATTTTTGTAAAGCTTACAACTGTGAGCAGCAATGCCGTCTTTCAGTATAGCATGCTTCATATTTGCAGAGCATCCGCATGCACATAATATTCTCACCATCACAACACAGTTAAGTATGCTTGCACACGTGTGTACACACACACACACACACACACACACACTGAGAAGGCAGTCAGTGACTACCTTCCATTTTCCAACCACAAACTGCTGTCAGAATGAATACTACGTTTTAGCTTTTCAAATAACTGGAAATAACATCAGATTAAGTAAAGAAGACAGCTGCTGCATTCAAGGATTCAAAGTCTGAGGCATACACATTGTGCTCAATGTTGATCAAATTCACTGGGTAACTGCTTATCAAATTACATTAATTTTTTTTTACCCTGTGGGAAGAGTTAAAAATCATAATAATGGTTATCACAGCAGATACTGACTATTAAAAAAAGATCTATTGTGGTCTAGAGCACGCATACATTTTTCAAATCAGGTGCTGTGGAACTCAGCATATTTTTAAGAGTCACTGCTAAGGACATGATGTTCAATAAAACAAACCAGACAACAAAGAGTACTTGTGGGATTCCAGTGACATGTAGTTCAAAAACAGGCAACACCAATCTATGCTGTTAGAAACCAGGACAGTGCCTACCCTTGGGAGATAGTGACTGGCAGCCGCATAAGAGGGGATCAAATGTCTCCTGCAAAGGTTTAAGGTTGTTTCCTGATCCCAGTACAGGCTGCATGGGTGTGTTCATGAAAACTCAGCAGCCTTTATGTACATTTACAATTTCCATGCATGTCAGTGTGCACATTAGACATCAATAAATGTTCCTCGAAGACAGTTGCCATTGAGTAACGAAGTCTACAACCTTCCTGCTTTTCTCCCTTTCTCCTTAAACACACACATGATACAACACACACAAGCTTTAAGATCATTTGATGACTACTGTAGAAACATCAGTCAAAATAGTAGTTAGAAAATACCCATGAAGTAGCATTGCTTAAATATATATGATATATACTTGTGATACCTGACAACACAAGTAACCTGTTACATAAATAGAAAAGTCAATTCCACCAATCAAGTATGCCCTTTGTCCTTCAATTAGTCAATTACGTATATGGTTCATCAGACCACAAAATTCAACTCAATTTCAGTTGATCTGCATTATACCAAGTCATACTAATCACACATGCACCCCCCACACACAAACACCTGCACTCTGCAGAAATCCCAGAATAGAAGCTTCTGAGAGGACTTCTTGTTCCATGTGGTCTCTAAGAGCTGCCAGGAGCAGGAACTAACTCCCAAGAGACAGAACTGAGCTCCTTTCACTAACAGCTCCTCACAAATAGGTTTGAGAGTTTCTAAACATGGTGTATTCTGAAGAGTATAAAGATTCTTGATGAAATAGGTGAGTCCTTATGAACGGACAGGCACCTGAGGAAGGTAGGCAACAATTTTTTGGGTTTCGGTTTTGCCCTTACATGTGTCTTCATTTTTAAAACATTTACCGAGCAACTACTGTAAGCCAGGCCCTAAGGCTATGATGATAAAGAAGGCAAATGCCTTAGATAAGAAATCCCTCCCAGTAAGATGAGGACAGCGTTTTCATACCTCAAAAATGTGGCTTAAAAAAGGAAGAAAAGAAGGAAGGAGGAAAAAAGGAAAGGAAGCGAGGAAAAGAAAGAAAGTGAACAGGCAATGGAGTATTCATGATGAAATGAAGGAGTGGACAGAATACATCTTCCTAACAGAAACCAGACCTCTTCACAATAAGAAATACTCTTTTGTTCTCAACCTTCAGTCATTAGAGAAAAAATCTGGTACTATGGACCTGAAATAGAGACTAAATACAGATGGTGTCAGTGGCAAGATACACAGCAATTTGATCATAGTTTCCACATTCACACCACGCACTTACTTCCAGTTGTGTCTCATTGTCATAAACTACAAAAGAAAAAAAAAATCAGAGGCAAAAATACACTGGAAGCCTGCTTCTGCTCTGCTGAGTAATTATCAAAAGCCGGTTCACTACTTTCCATGAATACTGCCTGAGATTTGTAGGGATTCATCTTTGTCCAGGTTCTCCTCTGTTTATATTTAAAAGCTACACAGTAGCTTATACTGTTAGAGTCACTGGAATAAATTATTTTTGTGCTTGCAAAGTATTGCTGGTGACAGTGATTTCCATAATTTTCTCAGGAAATTCTTAAATCTCTCCTACTGAAAGCCTGTTTAATATTTTAATTCTAACTTCACATTGGCAACCAGAAGATAGGAAACAGAGCCTTACTTTTATACTCTGAGACATTCAGAAGTAAAACAAAGGAGTGAAGGAGAGAGAGAGAGTGGAGAAACGTCATAGTTGTTCATTCTTTTTTAACACACTAGCAGAAGCAAAAGCAGCTGGTCATCAATAACTCGCACTTGCTGCTTGCCTGCAGCTATTACTTGTCTGATATTGGTAAAGTTCTCTATATTTAAAGGTGTCTGAAAACACTGGCTTATTTATAAACTTTGAAAGGCAGTAGTTAAAATGGACTTTGGTATATTCTGTTCCTCAGAGCTGCATTTACCCCTCAAACGCTTAAGCCCTATGAGTTTAATCTCTACTGAGATTTTAGTTGTATCAACCTTGAATAGACTAGACTCCTTTAAAAGGAAAAGAAATAATCAAGTCATTGGAATAACCTTGATCCCTAGACGCCGCCATTTCCCTCAAGTGAGTGATTCTTATTGTCACACTAATTAAGTAAAGACATAAAGGCTTTCCCAATGCTTTTCACAAGAGATCTTTCCTCGCAGATTTCATTTTATGAAATCTGTAAAATGCTAGGAGGCGTATTAATTAACTGCAGAGATGCTAAACATATATGGAATACATAATTAATTACCACATGATACACTTAATACTGGAATACTAAAGAGCCAGCTCTCAGAAATTTGTCTAGAAAGGGAGTCTTTGTTTCTCAAGAAAGACAACATAGACTTCAGACTGTGGTGTTGATTTCTGTTTCACCAGCTGGAAAATGTCAGTTATCAGCAACTAAAAGGTGTATTTCTATATGGATGGCAGTTAAGTACTCCATAGTAGATAAATGAGGCCAGAGAGTAGAAAGAAGAGAAATAAATGAGAGACAGAAGAACTGAAATTTGAGAATGATTGTGGCCTGTGGTTTTCTAAGTAAGTAAAAAACCCATTTGGTTAGAACAAGTTACGTACCCCAAATAAGAAACATACGTGAACAGTTCCTGCTGTTATTTCCTGGTCATCTGATCTCAACTGTAATTACCGTGCAAAGCTCAAACTCAATCTAGATCCTTCATTCATATCTCCCTAAAATAAAGACAATGATCCCAAACAATTTGCTCATCCACCCACCAATCAGAACACCTGCCTATTCCTAAGGTATTCTTTTTTGTTATTTTATGTCTCATCAAATAAGCTAATCAACATAGAAATTAAAGAACGTAATCTGGAAAAAACAGTTCAAGTAAAGCAAAGCAGGAATCTACAGAATAACAGACTAATTTAATTAATGCCATTTGATTAAATAACTGTCTTTTATTGAAAACCTGAATACACACAAGGCATTGAGTCAGGCACTGATGAAAGTCATGGCAGGGGGAAGGGAGGTGAGCTCACTTCCTGCTGCTTTGGCTGTGCCTCCCTGGAAGGTCATGAGAGTCAGGTGGTTGTCAAAGGGCAACTGCAGTGTCCAGTGTTGTGGCTTGTAGCTTCCAACTTCCCGATGCCCAGATCAGAGTTTTCTTGAACTTAATAGTACAAGCAGGCCTTAGTCCTACTCCTCCAGCTCTCTGAGTAATTTTTAAGTACCCAATTCCCTGTCTTATATCCCATAGTTTTTGTTTTCTGTAACAAATCCTAGTTGATTCATGAATGCTCTATTTCAGCAAACTAGGGATGCAATGGAAGCCAGGCAAGAAATGAGAGAAAAATACATGGATGAGTCATCATCATTCATTCATTCACGCATGCATTCATTACATGATTCACACATATAATTATTTATTGAACATGTACTATGTGCCAGGCACTGTGTTACTGCCAAAAAGCTCTAACCTTTTATGAAACCAGGGTAGTGATGGGAGTAAAACAGAGAACCGGGAACATTCACTAATGCTAATCCCTCTGGCTGAGGTTCCTCTATTGTTTACCACGTTTGAAATCTCTGATAACTGCCTGAAGGGCCTTCATCTCTGTATCTTTTGCCCATTCTCTCTGTTTCTCCTGTGTGACATTAAGTTTGAAGAGATATTTCCCTTTTAAACTTTATCTATAAGTAATTACTTATGATATGCATCCTACAAAATAAAAATAAACATACTTCCATCTATATAAAATTTGCATAATACTATTATGCAAATAGGGTTAGAATATATTCTGTTACTGTAGAAAATAAGAATTAAATTATTTTCTAAAAATGTATATTAAAATTCATATAAATGATTACTAGCAAAATGGGCATGCAATTCCCTTTCAAAGCAATGGGTTTAGACAGACACAAATAAGTAAGAGAGTCTATTCAAATAAGTAAGAGATTCACAAAAACTCCCTCTGGTAAAGAAAAAAAAAAAAGCTGATATGCAATTACATTTCCAGGAAACATCATCAAACTCCTTGCTATAACCTGAATGTGTCCCTGCAAAATTCATATATTGAAATCCTAACCCCCGAAGTGACGGTATGAAGATGTGGGGCCTCTTGGAAAATGGTTAGGTCATGGGAGTGGAACTCTGAGGAACAGAATTAGTGCCCTTCTAAAAGAGGCCCTAAAGAGATCCCCCACTCCTTCTGTCACCGCAAAAAGACAACAATCCAGGAAGCAGGCTCTCACCAGCACCTTGATGTTGGACTTCCCAGCCTCCAGAAAGGTGAGAAATACATTTCTGTTGTTCATAAGCTACCCAGGCTAAGGTATTTTGTAATAGTAACCTGAATGAACTGAGGCACTCACAAAAATTTATCAGTCACATTAACTAGACAATTTCAGCATCAGCCCTGATAGTCACAGTCAATGGCAATGGTAACCCTTTGGCCAGAATATCTTTGGATTTTTCACTGCCATCTGTGAGTAACAAGTGTCTGCTGCCAGGCCTTATCCTTATCCTGCAGACTTGCTCTGTCCTTCATAAACAAGCTACTCCTGGTACAAATACTTGGGATGCATAATGTGCCATCACACATTCAGCTAAATGATGTCTAACCTTGAAAGTACAGTGCACGTTCAACCTCTTCTTGAAGTTAATGCCAATCGTCCTGGCTTGCACTGATTTCTTGTTGATATGAATGCCTACTGCATTTACACACAGAACCAACAAGTTTACTAGCAAGGTGTTTCCTACTTGTCTTGGGTATGGGCTTATAACCCTCAAACTCATATTTTAGCTCAGTTCAATCTTTAAGCATTTCTTTAGTGCCTGGTCATCCAAGGGTCTCCACTGTACGGTGGTGGTACAAAGGTGGAAAGACATCGCAGCATGACTGTAAGAAGTAGACAGTCTATTCTGGGAATCACTTGAGCATAGAGAGCACTTATCTGAAACAAGTGAAAAGCAAAGATGAGAGGGGCATAGGCAACTCAACTAACTACCCAATCCTTGTGTTTTCATACTGCAAAAAGGAAAACAGTGATGGAGAAACTAGCCAAAGAGAAAAGAGAGCCGCTATGGTGCAGCTGGCCTTCCTTGAGGAATCTCTCTAGTGGCACCATCATGATAGTCCAAGCTGAAAGGCAGTATGTCCAGTTTCTCACTCAACTAAACTACTAGGGACTGTGCATGATGACTAAGACCCAACAGCTCTGTCAATTAACTAACAGTTTCACCTTTCCTTTTTCCAAGTGCTGACCGAGAGCTTTTGAAGTCACAGGCACCTTTGGCTCACATATCTGAGCTGGTCCCAAAAGTGCTCTTGGAGGTCCCAGAAAACCAAAGAACTTAGACTCATGCTTAAATGCATCCTCTCGAAAAATAAAAACTTAATACACTGCCCATGACACCATTTCATTTTTATAACAGATCTTTGTCCGTATACCTCTCTCAATCCTTTTGTTTCTTGCCAAATTCTGGGTAAGAGAAGTCTACAAATCATGTTTAAAGTTCTTCATCTTTTGTTCACTCTCTTATAACCTGATTCATGCTCCAATCCCAGCAATTGACTCCACTGAATGCCATTCTCTATCAAGGTTAAGAACAATGCCCAAGTCAGACTGTGGTCCTCTTCTCACTGTCAGTCTCCTTCACAGTTTGTGATGTTCGGTCTCCCACTGTTTTCCTTTCTAAATCCTGTTTCTCCCTCCCCTTTTCTGGTCTGGTCTTTCTTTCTTTTTCTTTTTCTTTTTTTTTTTTGAGATGGAGTCTCGCTCTGTCACCCAAGCTGGAAAGCAGTGGCACGATCTCAGCCACTCCACCTCCGGGTTCAAGTGGTTCTTGTGCCTCAGCCTCCTGTGTAGCTGAGACCACAGGTGCATGCCACCATGCCCAGCTAATTTTTGTATTTTTAGTAGAGATGGGGTTTCACCACGTTGTCCAGGCTGGTCTAGAATTCCTGGCCTCAAGTGATCCACCTACCTCGGCCTCCCCAAGTGCTGGGATTACAGGAGCGAGCCATCAAGCCTCGCCCCCTTTTCTGGTCTTTCCTCTCCAATCCTCCTTGTATCAGCTGACTTTTGCTGTGTAACAAAAATGTCTGAAGCACCAGTGGTCTGCAATAACATTTACTCATTACACATCTACAGAGTTCAGCTGGGAGTCTGCAGATCTTGGTTGAGCTTATCCATGTATGTGTGCATCGGCTGAGGGCTCTGGGTTTCATCCCATGGATTCAAAGATGATTCAACATATACAAGTCGATAAATGTGATTCACCACATAAACAGAACTTTAAAAGAAAAAAATCATACCATCATCTCAATAGATGCATAAAAGGCATTGAATAAAATCTAGCATGGCTTTATGATAAAAAAAAGAACCCCTCAACAATCTAGGCATAGAAAGAGCATACCTCGAAATAATAAATGTCATATATGACAAACCCACAGCCAGCATCACATTGAATAGGAAAAAGTTGAAGCATTCCTCCTAAGAACTGAAACAACACAAAGATGCCCACTTTCATGACTTCTGTTCAACATAGTACTGGAAGTCCTAGCCAGAGCTATCAGGCCAGAGAAAGAAATAAAAGGCATCAAAACTGGAAAACTATCTCTGCTTGCCAATGATATAATCTCATATCTAGAAAGCCCTAATGACTCCTCTCCAAAAGATTCCTAGATTTAATACATTCAGTAAAGTCTCAGGTTACAAAATCACTGCACACAAATCAGTAGCACTGCTACAAACCAACAACAACCAAGCTGGAAATCAAATCAAGAACTCAATCCGCTTTAAAATAGGACGCAAAAAAATAAAATACCTAGGAATACACTTAACCAAAGAGATAAGAGATCTCTAAGAGAATTACAAAACACTATTGAAAGAAATCAGAGGTGACACAAACAAATAGAAAGCCATCCATCCCATGGCCATGGATTAGAAGAATCAATATCATGAAAATGACTATAATATCCAAGGCAATCTACATATTCAATGCAATTCCTATCAAAATAATGTCATTTTTAACAGAATTAGGAAAAAAATCCTAAAATTCATATGGAACCAAAGAAAAGCCCAAATAGCCAAAGCAATCATAAGCAAAAAGAACAAATCTAGGGGCATCACATTGCCTGACTTCGAATTATACTAAAAGGATATAGTAACCAAAACAGCACAGTACAGGTATAAAAGTGACACACAAACAAGTGGAAGACAATAGAGAACTCAGAAATAAAGACAGATACAACCAATTGATCTTTGACAAAGCATACAAAAACACAAACTGGGGAAAGAACACCCTATTCAATAAATGGTGATGGAAAAACTGAATACCACTTGTAGATGAATGACACTAGATCCCTATCTCTCACCATATACAAAAATTCCTAAAATATGTACAAACTATATGTCTGACAAAGGCCTAATATCTACAAGATCTATAAGAAACTCAAACAAATCAGCAAGAAAAAAAAACAAACAAAAGAAAAAAACAAGTACTATCTTAAAGATTTTAGTGAGGACACAATTTAGTATGGGCCAAGTGCCATGCTACACACGATACGTTACATGTATTATCCCCACCACACTCTAATAACAGATAGCGTGAGCCCCATTCTACATACGAAGACAATAATGATTTGAGTAATTAACTAACATGCCAAAGACACGTAGCTCCTGAGTCACAGTCCCACTTCTAAGGATAGCAAAACTACACTTCCCATACCCTTCCCTAACCTAAACCACACAAACACAGAGAGACCCCGGTTTCTCCTCTTAGAAACACACAACTGGAAAACATTTAGAAAGATTAAGGTAATAAAGGTTTGATATAACACCTCTAATTTAGGTTTTTGCATTTCAAGGCCAAAATGAGGGAAAAATGCTTAACACAAATAAAATGAGACTTTCAATTCTCTAATGGTAGAAATTAAATGACCACTGAGGTTTATAGGTTGTGGTAGGTAAACCTCTCTCAAATTATAATATTTAGGGAAAATTGCCCATTTTGCATTTTCGGACAAAGGCTACAGGGCCTCATTTTTATTGCACAAATTTGGAGTAATTTCTGATTAACAAATTACTTTTAAATTGCTTTCTATGCATATTCCTTCAGAAATCCAATTACCATTCCATTATTGGGAGGAGTGAATTAGAAAGTGAAGAGATACTTGCATAAAATTAACATACCAATGGTTCTCCTTGCATTGATAAGCAAATTTCTTTTCATATCAGAAACCATTCATACAAAGATACTCATTATAGACACTGGAATCTGTCAGCATATTGCACACAGCATAACATGATCATGCTGTACCCAACATTTGTCCAATTTCAAATTAGACCGATCAGTCATTCACTGAAGGGTACAGACTGAAAAATGTTTCTTCTGGATATGAGCAGTCATAAAAAAAAGTCTTTGACTTACAGCTACAAAGTTAGTGTCCACTCTTAAATGTGTGATAATTAGTAGATTTTCTGATAATTACTGGATTTGGTTCTACTCAATTTGATTTTCAAGTTTCGAGAATGAGAAGAATCAGATATCTTTGCACCAATGCAGGAGAAAATAAATGATGAGTTTCATCTTGTGCATGACTTTTAATCTGTGGGAAAATATATAAGCATGTCAAATGATGTTGGAGAATAGTCATATAAGTAACAGATAGAGAAATGTCCACAGGCAAAGTCTGTAATTTTGTCTACAAGCAAAATTCTCTAATTGCCTATAAGCAAAGTAGCTATATTCCTATTAGAATTACACTTACAAATTAAAATGGACATTCATTTGGAGGTTGGATCTAAGTAAATATCATGTACTTATCTCTTTCACTTTGGAAAAAAATGTGATTAATCTGAAATAGAGAAGGGAATCACAATGCTACCATTTGCTAATTTATGCCTTTATATTCTCATTTTACTAAGTAGATGTATGCCACTTTTTGGACAGTGCCAGCATTAGTCTAAGTAATTTGTTTTGGAGGCAATATCCCTGCTAAATAGAGTGAAGATAATTTGTAGTCTTCACTCAAAAGAAAGAGCTCAGCAATTTTCTTGTAACATATTAGTAAAGATGTCTCCGTTTCATACACCTGAGGTCCATGTCACTAAGCTTGACCATGTGACATAAAGAAGACAGCTTTAGGATTAAAGCTCTGACTCATGGACACATTATAGGTCTTGGCTTAAGCTTTTGAATTATTGGTCTTTCCCTTCTAGTGGTTGAGCTAGATGATAATAATATAAATCTCTCTAAAGAGGATCAGACAGATAACATCAAAAGCACCAGGGTCCTACATACTCAGAGCTTTCAGAAATTCAAGACTGGCTTCTATCTCCTTGGGAGGAAAAACATCATGCATATGTTTGGTCAGAAAAGAAAATAATTTCTGAACCATGTCTCTTAACCCCTCACTAAGGATCCCTGCAATGTGCCCTTGTAATAATAACCCCACAGTTGGATCTCAAGACAAGGGCTCTGCTTACAAGAAGGCATTCAGATGTGTCATGAAAAATAAACAAATCGAAAGTGAAGAGCAAAGCGGGAACATACAAAACACACTAGAAAGCTCCAGCACTGGGAAGTCAGCTGTGAAAATAGCTTGTTAATGTCACCCTGAGTTTGATTAAAGAATAAGACATTTCTACAAAAACAGCGATGTTTGAAGTCCACCACTGCTACAAGATAAAATAAAGCCTTCAAGGAATTTTCAGGACAGAAATACATGACATGATTATGAAAATGAAGTTCTACTGACCTCATGTGTGAAATCACTTTAAGCTGGTATACAAGTGTCTTACTGTAAACTTCAAATTGAAGAAGTCACACTTGTTGGGAGAGCATCGTAAAAGTAACAACCCCCTCGCCCCGTCTTACATATGTGCTATGTTCTTTGTCGCATATAGAGAATGCTGAGCTTTGAATGCATTAAAGAAAATCAGACTAGATATAAATCAGGGTCCAGAATATTTTGACTAAAAACCTAAGCACAACAACTTGGGATATCATTGCTAATATAGCTGAATCGGATTGTATTTGCAGTAAGGAGGGAAACTATATTCCTTTGATTAGATGTTGTTAAGTTTCCTTCTGTTTCTGTTACCTCCACTGAAAGCATAAGAATCAGATATTATATAAGCCCTATAGCTTTTCTGCTTGTATAAATTCATTCAGTTGACAATGTCAAATACAAATGTCAATACTGAAAAATAAAACAGTATATTAAAGACTGAAGCATAATTAGGAATAGTTCCCAACTGATGGTTTATATGTTCTTTGGGAGATTCTGTAGAAACACCTTTTAATCACTATTTCTCTTGTAAGTGACACTTATAAATCCCTCTTTCTTTTCTAACCGAAAAAGCTGAAAGTTTTCCTCCTATTTTTCCCAAAATGATAATGAATAGGACTTGCACTGAAGCCACAATACTCTGATTCTACAGAGAAGACAAGCAAGGAGAAATTCTCAGAAGATTTTCTTTCAATAAGCAAACTCACTGCCAGTTCGATAGAGCATAAGGTTTATCTGAATTGTTCTGAAACCAGAGCTAGGAATTCTGGGAGGTCAAACTCTTGTTACACTTCTAGAATTTCTTAGGTCTCTTAACACAGGCATGAGCTTTAGGTCCAACAAAAGTTTTGTTCAGTGCAAAACCAACATTCAGAGGCCCATTGAATCATGAGCCTATGCCATAGAGCATTCAAAGAGTGCTCCTGCTGCAGTAGGACTTTTATCAGTCTTAGAGGACAACAGCTAACAGGTGCGCTCTGTGCAAAACACTGACGTTCCAATTTCAGTTCAGTCCTTCCAGAGAAAAGAAGCTTGGACAATTATCTTTTCTTTTGGCTCATGTCCTTATTTGTAAAATGAGGGAGATAGACAAGCATTCCTTTTAAGTTTGTTTCACCCATCAGCACGATGTACAAAGCAAAAGATAAAAGGAGGGGAAAGGAATATTATGGTGTCAGGAATTTAGCAAATGTTCTAATGGGAAACAGTTTCTTTATGACAGGACTTCTCAGAGCCTTGAAATGAAGCTGCTTTGTCCAATTGACACATATCTAAAGCACATTAAATATTCTTAAGTAGTTTCCACTTGTAAAGTGCCCATCGTGTGCCCGTAATTTTCTATATCTCTCAGAAGAAACATAGTCTTTATGTTTAAAAAATAGTAGCTGCTCTTTCCTGGGGCTGGGGGGGAAGAAATTAGGATAACATTTCATCCCAAGAAATATTTAATATGTGAGAGTGCTGTTCCTTTCTCAACCCATTGTCTACTCCTCGATTGCATGATTATTCTTCTTTCTGAGACCAGGTTCAAGCAGGCTTTCCAAAGCTCTGCTCCTCCATTCTTTCTGAGACAGCAACTCTCCCGCTAGCTATTTGCACCACAGATTTCATGTTCAGAGCAAGTGAGGAGTTAATGGATTATTTGCTTTGGCAGCTCAGAGCAATCTGCTCTCGCCACGTTCGTGCTTTTTTTCCAGTTGTCTTTATTCCTTTTCCCCTACTGAATCTCCATCATCATTTTTTGGCTTTCTTCTCTACCACGCTTCTCTAATACTAAAGAGACGGTGAAGATTTTCTCTTCCTTTTGCCAGAGCAAACAGTCAGAGGATCACGCCTGGCCAAGTGCACTGAGGCTGCACTGGGGAAGTTGGTTTAGGCCTGGGAACTTACAAGAACCAGAACTCTTTCCCAACAATTTTTGTGTCTTTCAACCACTGACAGGATTTTTCAAAGACCAACATGCCCCTGAACCCCAAATCTTGTGCTGTACAATCAGGGAGTTAGAAACAAGGTAAGAACTTTTTAAAAATACGTGTTTCAAACAGTAGAAAAATTTAATTTTAATTGAAAGGCAAGTAAGGGATTGAGGAAAGTAAAAATAATACAACACACTCTGATTTTATGCTCTACTTTCCCACATATTAGGCAGCAGATGTAATTTTCATCAACCACTTTACATAGGCAAATTTGCACCCCCTGGCTTTGACACAGACCATTTTGAGGCAGGAAACTCAGTACCAGAAGGCAGGGCACCAACAGCTTAGCTTACTGCACAGGTTTCCATGAATTTCTAATTGAACATGCATAAAGATGCATAAAACATTGAGAGAAGCGGGAGAGTTTATTTGATTAGAACTTGGGGTAAACACATTCATGTCACATGTAAGTCCCATGTTAGAATGGCATTCTGAATGTGATGCTCCAACAGTGAATTGAAATTCAGCCCAAGAGGAAGTGGCACTAAGAGGTACACCATGTGACCAGTGCTTGAAAATTAGGATTTTCTCCCTAGAAGACCTATCTCTTGGTCAAGAAATGATTTCACTGCCTAAAAGAATCAACTGGAAAGAAGTAGAAAGTGATTGGAGGAAAACCTCATTGATTTCACTCACTTTTGAAAGAATATAATCATCCCCTTTCCCCTTTATAGAAGTTTTTATTTTTACATTGTATAATTGGAACATCATACCTTTTGCTACACACTGAATGTTTGTGTCCCTCCAAAATTCATACGTCAAAGCCTAATCTCCAATATGACACTGTTAGGAGATGGGGTCAAGGGGAGGGAATTAGGTTATGAAGGTGGAACCCTCATGATGGGGGACAAGTGCCCTTATAAGAAGACACACCAGAGAGCTTGCCTCCTCCTTCTCTGACCTCCAACATGAGGATACAAGAAGCTAGCCATCTACCAACTAAAAAGAGGCCCCTTACCAGACACTGGACCTGCCAGCACCTTGATCTTGGACTTCCAGCTTTCAGAACTGTGAGACACAAATTTCTATTGTTTAAGCCGCTCCATCTATGGAATTTGTCATAGCAGTCCAAAGTGACTAAGACACCTTTATATTTATTTCATACTCCAAACTCAGTTTTATTTAGTAATAGGATTGTAATAATTTATAGTAAGATTATATACATTAACATTTTAATTCCCTATGCTAATTTAAAATTAAAAATAGGTTCTTTTTATCACATCAAACAACATTTCAATGAAACTATTAGAAAAACTACAAAGGAAATTATGACTCCCTAATGATCTAGTTCATTTTCTCCCAGAAGATAAAAACTGGGCTTCTTACCTAGAACAATGGTGAAACTTACATTAAAAAATATATATATGCAAAGCATCATTGCCTTCTTGCTTCCGTTGCACAGGCAAAAATTTAATACATGTAGACCAGATTCCCTGGTCTTCTGTCAACTACTTCAATAGAATATAGATAATTCACCCTCTATGCCCACCCATAAGGATGCAGATCCAAGGTCCCTTGACTCCCCAGATGGTTTGGTTCACTAAAATCCCTTGTGCTCAGATAAAATCCATCCCAGGCCTGCTTTGGTGATGGAGATGTATCAAGTTGAAACAAAGTCAGGGCCCCTCTGCAAACAATGATCAGAAACAGAAGGTTCCAAGTAGAAAACCCTTTCCTGCTCTTACCTACACCTGGACAAGCCAGATGCTCAGGGAAATCTGACATCACAGCATAAGGTCTGGCGACTAGTCAGCCCTTTGTCTCTTAAAAAACCCACTGAACTATCCACACTTCTCAGCAAATAAAACTACTGTGTTCCTACTGAATACATCTTCAAGTAGTCTGTTACCCAAGAGACAGTGTGTGTTTTGCACCATCCAGGCAGTTGGTGAAATTGACTAACTAGGGCCCTCCTCCCTACAATGGAAACTTGGGGAGGATGGAGAAAGGATCTCACCACGGTGTGAACACAAGATTCCCATGAGGGGAGAAAGCATCAATATCCAGTGTCAGGACAGAGTGGCAAATGCAATTAGAGAGAATTTTCATTTCCAAATGGATTTTTTTTTTAATCTTTTTAAGTACCAGGGTACATGTGTAGGATGTGCAGGTTTGTTACATAGGTAAACGTGTGCCATGGTGGTTTGCTGCACTTATCAACCCATCACCTAGGTATTAATCCCAGCATGCATTAGCTCTTGGGTTTTTATACTTTCTTGTAAGCAACCTTGAAAAACCACTCTGCCTCATCCAGAGAATGCAAAAGCCAGTGTAGGCATGTGCAGAAACTGAGCTGCACAGCACACTGCCATGCCTTGAGTGATCAACAACAGGAACTTGCTAATTACTAACAGCCAGTATATTCACTCTAACTATGGGCCAAATGCTATGCAAAATGTTTGCGTGTATTACCTCATTTAAATTTGCAAAGACTTTAGGAGGCCAGTCCTATTATCACACCCATTTTACAAGGCAAGAAATGGAAGTGCAGAGAAGCTAAAGAGTTTGCCCAAGGTCACAAAGATGAGAAACTATTAAAGCAAAAAATCTCAGGCAATCTGATACCAAAGACCTTGACCTTCAGATCACCAGCTTCAATTGCCTTCCCTTAGTCTCAAACTCGGGCATTTGCAGAGCCTATGGTGGGCAGATTAAGAGCCTCCAAAAGATGTCCATATCCTATTCTTCACAACCTACTAATGTTATATTACATGTTACAGGGAAGTTAACATAGGAGATAGAATTAAAATTGCTAATCATCTGACCTTAAAATAAGATTAGCCTGGATTGTCTAGGTGGGTCTAATGTAATCATCAAGGCCCTTAAATGTAGAGAGGAAGGGAGAATAGTCAGTGTCAGAGTGTTGCAGCATGAGAAACATTTGGCCACTGCTGGCTTTGAAGATGGAGAATGGGCCACACACCAAGGGAAGCAGGGGGCCAGGCAAGGCAAGGACACAGATTCTCCCCTACGTCCTCCAGAAAGGAAGATCGCTAAGCTAACACCTGGACTTCAGTTCACAGAGACCCATCCTAAACTTCTCACCTGCATAAATGTGTGAGAACAAGCTTGTGTTTTCCATAACACTATGTAGAACACTATATAGAACTGTTCTATAACAAGTTAAAAAAAATACATTTAAAGACTCATCACAAATAAAAAAAAAAAGTAAACAAATTTGCACTGTTCTAAGCCATTATGTTTGTGGTCATTTATTACAGCAGCAAGAAGAAGCTATTGTTAATAGAAGACTCACTAGTTAGAATTCTGAAGAGAGAAGCTGATCAAGAGGAAGAACCATGTGGGCCCACAGGTAAAAGGAGGAAAGCGAGACTTAAGCAGAGACGGTTCCTCTCCAAACTAGCTCAGAGCTTGCAGCTTTTCCTTAGGGAAGAGAAATGGAAGACTGACACCAGAAGCTGGTCTGCATCGTTTCTGGTGCTGCCTATAACTTGGCAGGGAGATGTTTGTTGTTCTTATCACAGAGTGAGGGCTCATTCTCATCAAATCCCTCTGTCATCTTAATAGAACCCTCTAGGTCCTGTTATAGATGGCAACTGTCCTGAGGGGCCTCTACCTGACAATTAGAGTGAGTCAAAACTGATGCCCAGAGTGGGCAGAGCCAGTCACAGAGTGCCCTGGAAGGATCCAAGCCCAGCAAAGCTGATTTCCACCTGCCATGCGGCTCATCACCCAGGACAGCCTCCATGAGGGTTTGGAGAAGATGCTGTCTTTCAGGTACTAAAGCCTCAAAGTCCCTCCCAATCTTAGCAGCAACTTTATTCAATCTCTCAGGACCAAGGAAGTTGACGAAGAGGAGGTTACCCTGGGATTCAAATTTCAGATCTTACAGGCAGGGAGAATAAGGCTTGCTCATCAGATATCAAATATTAACAGAGCTTAACCTCTTCCGGGCAAAGGTTCCTCTTTTTGAATCAGGGATGATAATCATAAGATGGCCATATTTCTATTTTTTAAAAAGTCTTTAGGTGTGGGAGAAACTTCGGGTGCCCACCAACATCAGAGTCCCCCACTTAGGCCTGGACAGCCTGCTAGATGACAGTCCCCAGTACCTGCAGCAAGGTAGGGTCATGTGACTGGCACTTGTCAATGGGACAAGGGAAGGGCTGATGTGAGTCACATTTCGCACAGACACATGGTCCATACTCTCTTCCTTTGTCTACCAGATGCTGAGGATCCAGGGGAGGAAGACAAGCCCCAAGGCATGTTGGATGAAGTGACCAGATGGCAAGAGCTGAAACCCTGAACCCTAGCAAAGAGCCCTCTCACTGACAGCCCTACTGGACTTCACTGTGTGCAAGAAATAAAGACTCAACTGTGTTAAGCCATGGAAGTTTCAAGGTCACTGGTTATGGAAATTAGCCTAGACTGCCTAGACTTATATGCTGGAATTTTTTTTTTTTTTTTTTTTTTTTGAGACAGAGTCTCGCTCTGTCACCCAGGCTGGAGTGCAGCGGTGTGATCTTGGCTCACTGCAACCTCCACCTCCCAGGTTCCAGCAATTCTCTGCCTCAGCCTCCCGAATAGCTGGGATTACAGGTGCCCGCCACCATGCCCGGCTAATTGTTTTGTATTTTTAGTAGAGACTGGCTTTCACCATCTTGGCCAGGCTGGTCTTGAACTCCTGACCTCGTGATCCACCCACCTTGGCCTCCCAAAGTGTTGGGATTACAGTCGTGAGCCACCACACCCAGCCTATGCTGGATTTCACAAACCCAGGAATTCTCCAAGATTGGTGATTCTGCCAGCCGTCTCTCCACTGCCCATGTTTGGATCATCAAAGAAAACAAGATGCTTCTTATTAGGCTTTTAGGACCATAGGTTGATGTTTCTTATTAGGCTTTTAGGCTTTTGATCTCAGTGTACAAGTAATTCTACCTTAGCTGGTTTACTTATTTGTTTATTTTTTTACAAGAGCCTGAGTTTCTAGAGGCAGCTATCTAATTTCTCAAGTCGGTCTCGGTTTATAACAAGCGAAGCAAGGAAATTCACATGGCCTGCCATGTCATTGGCTTATCTGGTTCAGCCTGTGCTACAGACAACCTTTCACCTAAATTGCCCTTGAACCACCACAGCACATGTCTTTGTGGGGTAAGTATGAATTAGCCTGACAAAGCCACACTGTAAATGTCAATGTTTTCAGGAAATGTTTACTATGAACAGCATATTGAACAATGCAATTGAAAACAGATTAAGAATTGACTTTGTGGTAGAAAATTATAGAGGGATGTTAAGCTGATTTTGAATAACCAACTATATGTTTTATCTAATTTTTAAAAATACAAATGTGTACTCCTATTAGTTTGAGCACATATAGTGAGTATTGGCTGTTTCACTCATTAGGAATTAATCATACATTATCTTTTGCCGTCTCTTCTGTTGCCTTAACCCATAGTAACTTGTTAATTACCACAATAAGCTTCCAACTTACATAATCCCAACTTAGGCAGTGCTCATTCAGAAATGCCCTGCTGAGACTCTCAGTTTCTTACATTATCTGTATGGATTCCCAGACATGGAACCTGGGAGAAGTGACTCTATCGCTTCTGAACTTCTGCCTCTCTGGGCTGACTTTCTTACCTATGAAATAGGTGCAATATTAGTGCCTGACTTATAAGGATGGAATGAAAAGAAATAACCCATGTGAAGCATTTCACATCCCACCTGGCACATAAGGAGGCAAGCCACATTGCTAGCTATAAACAACATAGGTTTTAGGCAAGTTCCCAACTCTTTATAGGCCTGAATTTCTTCACCTAGAAAAATACAGACAGACACAGACACAAATGTTCCCAGAGACAAACGCACTGCTCTGACAAAATTCCCAAGCAGCAAACAGAATTTGTGGTGCGTCAGTTAACCTGCTGAATGTTTATGTAGCAAGTGCATTCTGTGAAACAAAGATTTTTTATCATTATTATTGGCCAATAGACTTTTGAAACATCCTTACGCAAGAGGGATCACCACGTTGTAACATGTTATCACATAATTTATCTCCATTTCAGAATAATAGGAAGGAATTTCCATGAGCCAGGGAGATTGGGGGCACTTCCTTTATCCTGGTCTCTAATCTGATCTGGTCCCACTTCACTCAGACCAGCGCCATGTGGAAAGGAAGCGGCCCATCCTCCCCAGGGGAGATTCAATCACCGACAGTGAGTTTCCTTCTGCTGCAGGCAGCTAAAAGCTGAATAACCAATTCAGCAAGGCTAAACCCAATCTCTCCCCTCAAGAGAGAAGGAAACAGTCCATTTGAAAATGAATTTGATCCTGGGATCTGAGATATGCAATTTTTTAAAGTTCTTTGTAAATGGGTGGGGCTAGGGGCAAGGAGTGTGAACTTGACAGCCCTTACAATTGTTCAAGTGCCACCAGTGGCTTCACCTGCTGAGTACTGTCAGTTCCCAAGTCGCCCTGAACTCTCATGTGTACAGTACCTAGCAGAATGCTTGAGAGAAAGGTCAGACCCTGAGCTAAGGGCTCTATGTGCATCATTTCATATCAGTCCTCATGAAAGACTACTATCCCAGTTACAGATGAGGAAACTGAGACCCAGGGAAGTCCAGTAAACAGCTGGAATTGGCATTTGCCCCAATCAATATTACTTCCAAGAACATGGCTGGGCACAGTGGCTCACGCCTGTAATCCCAGCACTTTGGGAGGCTGAGGCAGGCACATCATGAGGTCAGGAGATCGAGACCATCCTGGCTAACACGGTGAAACCCCATCTCTACTAAAAATACAAAAAATTAGCCAGATGTGGTGGCGCGTGCCTGTAGTCCCAGCTACTTGGGAGGCTGAGGCAGGAGAATAGAGTGAACCCGGGAGGTGGAGCTTGCAGTGAGCTGAGATTGCGCCACTGCATTCCAAGCCTGGGCAACAGAGCGAGATTCCGTCAAAAAAAAAAAAGGGAAAAGAAGAAGAAAGAAAGAAATAAACAGAGGCCAATTATCTAAAGAAAATATATTATAAATGAAGGAATAAGTCTGTAATATCATTCAATAACAGGTTATCTCATATTTGGAAAGATTAAACAAAAACTTTCAAGAAAGCCCTTTTACAGACTATCACTCATAAAAATCCAGTAACTATTCATTATTTCTTCTCTAGTTATCATGATTACCACTTTGAGAGCAGAGACTATGGCATAGACACCTTCCTAATCCCTCCCTTGAAACTCAGGGACAAAGCATCTCTTACTGTGCTCTGCAAAGAACAGGGTATTTGCATGAATTATTCTTTTGCAGCAATTGTGGTCTGAATGTTTTTATCTCTCCCAAATTCATAGGTTGAAATCTAATCCCCAATGAATAGTATTGATAGATAGGGTCTTTAGGAGACAATTAGGTCATGAGAGTGGGACCCTTATAAATGGGATTAGTGCCCTCACAAAAGAAGCTTGAGGGAACTTGCTCACCCCCTCCACCATGTGAGGACACATAGAAGGCGCCATCTATGAAGCAGACAGCAATCCTTTATCAGACATTAAATCTGCTGGTACCTTAATCTTAGACTTCCCAGTCTAGAAATAAATTTCCATAAGAAATGCATTTCTGTTGTTTACAAGCTACCCAATCATTGTATTTTGTTATAGGAGCTCAAACAGACTCAGACACCAGTCTTGATATTCTGGATCCATTATGGATTCAAGGAACTAGGATGCAGTGGATTGCATGATGTCCACCAAAAAGATATGTCTAATTGCTATCCCCCAGTACCTGCAAACATGATTTTATTTGGAAACAGGGTCTTTGCAGATGTAACTGAGTTAAGGATCTACAGATAAGGTCATCCTGGATTTAGGGTGGCTTCTAAGTCCAGTGACTGTTTCCTTATAAGAGACAGGAGAGAGAGATTTGAGACACACAAACACATGGAGAGGAAGGACCTATGGGGATGGAGGTAGAGATTAGAGTCATACTTCCATGACCCAAGAAATGCCAGAAGCCACCAGAAGCTGGAAGAGGCAAAGAAGAGGTCCCCCATAGAGCCTTCTTGGGGAAAATGGCCACGTGACCCTGCTGTCACCTTGATTTCAGCATCTGGCTTCCAGAATGGAGAGAATAAGTTCCTGTTGTTTTAAGCCACCAAGTCTGTGCTACTTTGCTGCAGTAGCCCTAAGAAACTAATGCACAGGGGTTTTGGGGAACCAGTGGGAAAGACTTCTTAATCTCCAGGTACAAGGATATTCTACTCTTCACTCAATGGGAATAGGAGACAATGAAATGGTTTGGGAAACGCCACAAAATTGCCAGCTCCTCTCAGTAGAATTTTCTTAAAGAGAACAGTGAGATGTGTCTCCTTTCACTCTAAATATATCACCAAAAAAAAAAAAAAAAAGAAAAAAGCTGAAATTCATCAGGATGCAGCACGTCTTGTTTATGTCACATAAACTTGCCTAGACTACAAAAAGGTCCTTCAAAAGCCTAGACAGACAACAATATGAGTTTTACTTGGGTTTCTTATAATCAAGTTGTCGACGGTGCTTTTATATTTGAGCATTTTGAAACAGGAGAAAATAATTTGGCTTTAAAGTCTTACCCACTGAAAATAGTGAGACACCCTCAGCATACAAACGCGTCTCTACTCTAAATGTGTTCTATGGAACGGCAGCATTGGCATCCCCTGGAAGCTTGTTAGAAAATGCAGGGCCCTTGCCAGAGCTACAGATCCAGAATCTGCATTTTGACAAGAGTCCCAGGTATTTGGGTGGCACATTAAAGCTTGAGAAGCTCTCATCTAAAGCATTTACGAGACAACTGTTTCAAAGGCTGTGGAATTTTGCCATCTTAAAACAAGAATGACCAGAAATCCGTGCAACACACATACACACCGACATCAAATTATTTAGCCTTCTCAGCTCTCTTGACCTTGACAAAAACTGTACATGGTCTTGAAATTTAAAACAAGAAAAGAAAAGAAAGAAAAAAATTAAAAAGAACATTTATGTGTTTCACTCCATTTATTGAATACACTATTTGCTAACTGGGTTAGACTCCTATGTAAGAGTTAGTCCCAGAAATCCAAGAGATCAGAAGCAATCCTTTTTAAAAATTATCTTTTTCAGCTGTGGCTTTAATGTATTTTTTAACTCAGTTTATTAGTTTATTAGGAGAGTCCAGTGTTTCCAGTAGAGCTCAGCTAGTGATCACTACGCACCCTGTAACTACTACTTTGAGCATAGAGCACTGAGTGACAGATGACACCAATGCATGGGGGAGCAAACAGTGACCCAGCACTGCACAAAGCAGAGGAGAGAGGGACATGGCTTATCTCAGCAAGGGGAGGCAAGAGATATTCTACAGGGTGTCCCTGGGATTACATAGAGTCTGCCAGCCCTACCTGGGAGGATCAGAGAGCAATTCCTGAAGGATATGGTGTCTATGCAAAGTCATAAAGAATGCATTATAGGAATGTTTCAAAGAAGGTAGAAAAAGACAGTCTAGGCAGAAGGAACAACACAAGTAAAGGCACAGAGGTGTGAAAGAATCTGGGACTCTAGCAACTACGGAATATGAAGTAGGAGTCAGAGAGGGATGGCAAGGAAGCAGGGAGAGGCCAGCCTATGGGGAGATCCCTGTTGTCTAAGGAGCCTGGACACAGTCGTCTGAGTGATGGGCAGCTCATCTTCTGCTACTGCTGCTGAGAAGAATAAAAAAAAGTGCCTAAATTCTCTGAAGTCTCTCATAAGCCAGGCTCAATAATAGAGTAATGAGGCTGTGAGTACCTGAGTACTCTCTGTATGATATCAGCAAAAATTGGGATACTTCTAAAAGGCAAAATGCATTCTATGAATTAGATTTTATGATGACAAGGTACAGATCAGAGGAGATATTTGGGTCATATCACATGGTTAATTCAGTGCAATCAAAGCTCTAGAAATGAAATACGAGAGGAAGCTCACTAATATCGAGACTTTTAGGTGATTACATAGCTAAAAATGCACAGAGTAGATTAAATCCTTAAAGACATTTTCTGCTGAAAAACCCTCATGAAGATCACCTTGGTAATTTGGTAGCCGAATCACCTATTTGGGGAGATTCTTTGAATCTTCTTCAATATAGAATATTAAGAGCCTTTTGGGTTACGGGTGATTTCAAGCTCTTCGGGCTGCAGAAACCCCCGAGTTCTAATATAGTGTATTTCTGTGTTCATGGCAAGGAGTCAAAAAAAAAGCATGAAATGTTCTAGGCAATTAGGGGAGCAGAAAAACCTGTGTATGTCAGTCACACGCTAGTCGGCATGTTAATTCATTGTTGGCTGTGGTGCGGAATCCCACATGGGCCAGTCCACAGGTACAAACTGCATGATTACCTCCCACCCACTGTTTTGCAAATGCATGCTCCCCATCACAGAAGGCATCAGGCCAGAGGAGATGGATGACTTAAGACCTCTGTCAATATAACCCCCAAAATCACCACTGCTACTAAGGGAGGGCCAGTAGAGCAATGCTCATAAACAGGAAACTGAGATATTGTCTACTTTTGTTACAATTATTTGACATAATCATATTTTATGTTTTTAATTAGAATGCATGCATCCAAAAGAAATCGATGTAACACCTGGAATGTATGAAAAAATGTATGAACCCAACAGATCCATGTCTGGAGAATAAATAGCAGCTGCATATATTGTGTAGCCAGGGCTGCAGAGCATCAGTGAAGAGCAGATTCAATCACTGCAGCTATCCCATATAACAAACCACAGTTTTTTCCCTTTAAATACCAAAGCTGTTTTTAAGATATTCCACCTTATCATGCAGAACATATTAAAGAGGACTCCAATTAGTTACTCAGTAATTGGAGGAGTCACTCTACCTGTTTCTGTCTGCTGAAAGGAGCTTTAAGACTGCTGCCTCCTCTGCTGGGCAGATGCCTGGACTCCCACCCTACAAGACAACTTCAGACCTAAAGACGCTGTAACCTAGTAGTACTCTTATGCTGATGTGAAAGCCTGACAAGCGTGTTAACAAGACCTCTAGGTTTTACGTGATTTAATCCTTGTTCCTTGTTCCTTTTCCTATGATATGTGCCATGGATGTCCAAGCGCCTTCCTGGCTGTGGGGTGAATCAGGACTCAGAGTTAGCTGTGGAAGTGATGAAAGCCCACCACCACTGGGAAGACAAGCTAAGAGGACCCCAAAATGGGATAGATGAGGACAAGAGTCATCCTACCTAAGCAGTAGTTCCAAGACAAGAGTCCTAATTAACAGGAAGTGTCTGTATCTGAGGGGAGGCAAGATCAGGTGAGGGAAGAGGAGAAGAGGTTCTCTAGGAATGGGAGGTACAGCCAAGGGGCAGTTCACAGAATATAGCACCAGGGAGGACATTCTTATGGGGGCCGAGATTGCATGCTGAAAATGCTGTAACATCGGTCATCAAAGTGCTGCCAAACCTTAGTTTGATATCAGAGATGGCAACAGGGAATCATTAACTGTATGGGTGAAAGAGGAACTCTAAAAATCTTGATGAAAATGGTTAGATAATATAGTAATTATTATATGCTATATATGATAATATCTAGAATGTTATCTCTAGCCTGTCACAATGCAGTTATTGTCCAGTCCTTGGCTGGGATGTTGGTGGTACCCATAGGACAGGAAGGATGCATAGTCAGTGCCATGACACATCTTCCTCTTCTGCACGTCCTGTGCTCTCCTCCCTGCTCACTCACGTAGGGCAGATAGGAGGGAGGCTCATATGGTTTGGCTATGTCCCCACTCGAATCTCATCTTGGATTGTAGCTCCCATAATTCCCATGTGTTGTGGGAGAGACCTGATGGGAGATAATTGAATCATGGGGACGGTTTCCCCATACTGTTCCCATGGTAGTGAATAAGTCTCATGAGATCTGATGCTTTTATAAGGGGTTTCCCCTTTCACTTGATTCTCATTCTCTCCCTTATCTGCTGCCATGGAAGACTTGCCTTTTGCCTTCCACCATGATTATGAGGCCTCCCCAGCCACATGGAACTGTGAGTCCATTAAACCTCTTTTTCTTTATAAATTACCCAGTCTCGAGTATGTCTTTATTAGCAGTGAGAATGGACTAATACAGAGCCCAAGGCATGGAGGGATGGCAAAGGAGCAGCGATGCCACAGGCAGGGGCAGAGGCATCCTGTCTGGATATTGACCCAGGTAGGAGTGAGGCAGGAAAGAAGTTCCAAATAAAAGTACTGAGGAATGTCCTGTACATCTACATTATAACTATTACATCGATTAGACTGGAGTTTTCACTGTCTCAAGAATTAAGTCATAGAAACATATAGTAATATTGTTCTGACGCAAAAATCTACAATTAAGATATTTTATATTTATTTGAAATCTGCCTTCTAGAAAACACAAAGTGATGGGGGAAAGATATGGGATTAAGGCCAAGGAATTCAAACAGGATCACTTTTGACTCCCTTTATCCCAACTTAAGTAATAGAAAATGAATACTTTTACTTGTCTTTTTTTCTATACAAATTGAATATTCAGTGCCCCTGAAACAATAAAAACAATTCCAAAATGAGACCCTAAAAATGGTAATGGACTTATTTTAAATACTTTTAAGCCTTTTAATAAAGAATATACTGATAGCGAAGTAAAGTGGATTTAAAACAATCTTTCCAAGGCAGCAGTGAGCCTAATGTTCTCATCATGTGATAAGTTAAATGACATCAAAATAGGAATGAAGGCAATTTGAAAATAACCTTTCAAAAATTATCTCAAAATGCCAGAGATAACATTCTAGAGGGTTTAGCACGAAAAGAGAAAGGCTGGCTAAAGCTTCAAAGATGAATATCCTGTCTGAATTGCTGTGATTGAGGGAAAAGATAAGTGTCTGAATGTCATAAAATCTTCAGAGCTGCACGACAGTAAATTAGCACATCGCTCCAATTATTGGATAGCATGTGATGGCTAATTCAAGAATGTCCACTGGCCTTGTTAAGAACTTTTTATCCATTATTTCGATGTTAAAACGATTTCAATCATGCAAAGTTTTCAGTTCACACTGATCCACATAAACTTTGTATTATTATTATTATTTCCTTATATGCAAAACAAAACTAAACAAAACCACATTCTAGAGAGGAAGAATTATTTTTAAGTTTTGATTCTATTGGCTATTTTTTCTAGTTTCTCTACTAAGAAGAAAATGCCATTGATGATTGTTTTGCCAAGTAACTTACACCATCATTGGAGTTCACCACTGAAACGTTAAACGCTCCTTAGCAATGTACTCAGCTGTATTAGTGAACATCACATCTAGAAATGCACCTCCTAAACAGAAGGGGTAATGTGTTTCTAAAATATTATTTATTTATTTATTTATTTTTTGAGACAGAGTCTTGCTCTGTCGCCCAGGCTGGAGTGCAGTGGCGCAATCTCAGCTCACTGCAAGTTCTGCCTCCCGGGTTCATGCCATTCTCCTGCCTCAGCCTCCCGAGTAGCTGAGACTACAGGTGCCTGCCACCAGGCCTGGCTAATTTTTTTATTTTAGTAGACACGGGGTTTCACCATGTTTCCCAGGCTGGTCGCAAACTCCTGAGCTCAGGCAATCCGCCTGCCTTGGCCTCCTAAAGTGCTGGGATTACAGGTGTGAGACACCATGCCTGGCCTCTACAACTTTTTTTAAGAAAAATGAGTCACTGTCTTTCTCTGAAAACCCTACACCTGATGGGGAATGACAAAACCCTAAAATCAGCTCACAGATGCTAGTGCTGCTCAGAAAACAGTCATGAACAATGTTTTCATTTTGCCTGTGGCTTGGAAGCTTCTCTCTGTATAGGCGAGTCTCATACCAAGGCCCTATCTCTATCTATCTCACAGAAATTCAGTAACGTATGCTAATATCTAAATTCCCAGCAGACTCTATGTGAGAGTAAAGTAGGAACGTCTCCTAGAATGTTTCAAACAAGATTGAAGCTATGGAAATTTGATTTAGTGCACTTTGGGGAAAATATCTACTGCACAGCATGGCATCCTGAAAGAGAACAGCATAGTTACCTATTTGTATGAATGGAGCAAGTTACCGCGAACTCCTCATCCACTATATGAATTTGTTGGAGTAGATGTCAAGGGCACCTTGTAGATCTAAAATTTTAGAATCTTAAAATAAATTAAGTAATACTCCTTAACTTGTATGTAACCATCACAGTAACTTAAGGCCTAGGTGACCTTAGGCAAATTACTTTTAATGTCTGGAGCCCCTACTATTTTTTATATATATTTATATATATATATTTATATATATATACACACACATACATATATATACACACACAAACACACACACACATAGATATGTGTGTATATATATATACATGTATGTGTGTGTGTATACATATATATATATATATATAAATACATAACCATCAGTGTCACTTAAGGCCTAGTTGTTTGTGTATGTGTGTATGTGTGTATGCATATATGTGTGTGTGTGTGTGTGTGTGTGTGTATACATATTTACAGATGGGAAGACTGAGGCACAGTGAGGCTAACTAATTGATGCAATAACCTGAGGGTAATAATGGGCTGAGATTCAAACCCAGGTCCTCTGGCTCCCATGTTTAAATTCTGGTTCTTAGCCTCAGAGAACCTCAATCAGCTGAACAAGAACACGGAAGGTGATGGTTAGTTTTATGTGCCAACCTGGCCAAGCCACCATACCCAGAGAGTTAGTTGGTCCAACTTTATTCTAGATGTTTCTGTGAAGGTATTTTTCAGATGCTAAATGAGCGAAATTTCTACTTAAATGAGTAGATTTACAGTAAAGCAGATGACCTTCCATAATGGGAGTCAGTCTCACCCAGGCAGCTGAAGGCCTTAATAGAAAAAGGCTGACGTCCCTGGAAGAAGAAGTAATGCGTCAACATTACCTCTTCCCTGGGTCTCCAGCCTGCTGGCCTACCTTGTAAATTTTGGACTTGCCAGCATCTCTCTCTCTTTCTCTCTCTCTCTCTCTCTCTTTCTCTCTCTCTCTCTTTCTCTCTCTCTCTCTCCACACAAACACACACACACACACACACACACACAACACAACACATGCATACATCCAGTCGGTTCTGTTTCTTTGAAGAACTCTAATATAGTTACAAAATTGAAATTGGAATCCAGATCTATATTTTTTTCAGGGATACTTCTGTTCTATTTAAGAAGTGCAGCTGTCTTTTTACTGGTAATTTTCTCCTGTGCTTCACCTGGACCACTGTAATGGTATCTTAACCAGTCCCCTGCCTCTAACCCTACTCCCCATCCTAAACCTTGCCAGAGATTATGCCCTGTAATACAAGAAGTACCTGTCAATCATTTGAAATTGCTCAACAGCCCCCTAGCTTGGCAGGCAGGTCCTTCACAATTGGGGTACTCTCTACCTTGACAAATTCATCTCCCTCTATTCCACTAGATGCAACTTCATGCTAAGCATGCCAAATGACCCTTCCCTCCTCCTACAAGCCTTCACTATTCGCATTGACTGTGACTCAGTTCACTTTATTATATCCTCTGTGCATCCTCTCCCACAACATTCTACCCTCCTCTTGAGTTTCTAAAACACATCTTTGTAATAAAAATCAACACCTCCTTGTTTTATAATTATTTATATACACTTGTCTTCTTCCACTCAACTATGAGCTCCCTGAAACAAAGACCTGTGTCTTATGAAGCTCTAGAAATTTGCACAATGGATTTTCCATACACTTTTATTGGATCTATAAAAGCCAACTATCCTGACTCTTAGTCAATGATAGACCTAATTTCACTTGAATTATAAAATTTTGTTGTTTTTCTCCAGATCGTTTTTCACATGTTATTACTGAACAATGAAAAAGTCAGAGTCTATAACATCTTAATTTTTTGCAAGAATAATAGAATACCTGAAATTCATATCCAATGTAGAATTCAATTTCCTATCTTACCTTGCTCTTTTATGTGACAAGCTCAACCAATCAACCAAAACAAGCAGCTACACTCCTCACTGAGGGTCAGGGTTAGGGTTAAGGTTAGGTACACTCCTCATTGAGGTGTGTAACACCTAAATAATAATTAAAGAAGGCTCTGGGCCAGGCACTGTGGCTCAGACTTGTAATCCCAACACTTTGGGAGGCCATGGCAGGAGGATTGCTTGAGCCAAGAGTTTGAGACCAGCCTGGGCAACACAGCCAGACCCTGTCACTACAAAAAATTAGAAATTAGTCAGACATGGTGGCATGCACCTATAGTCCCAGCTACTCTGGAGAAAAAAAAAAAAAAAGAAGAGAAGAGAAAAAGAAATAAAGGAAAAAGAAAAAATGAAGAAAAACAAAAGAAGAAGAAGAAGGTTCTATAGCACTAACCATAAAAATTTACTGTAAACTACACATTTTAAAGCAGAATTTAAGTAGAGGAAACACATGGTTTGAATCCCTCAAGTAGTATTATTTCCTAACCTGTGTTTCTAAAATCTTTCACCTAAGTCTCATTTTTTAGACTCCACTCCATTCATATTGAAGACTCAAAAAAGTCAATCAGGAAACTGCATGAATATCAATTTACAATACTGACACACCAGGTGTGCCCCACATTGTCTACTCAGACTGGAAAAGCTACTTTCAATATTTTAATTTGTTAAGGCCTTGAACTTGGCAATACAGAAACAGTATTGACTTCAAGTTACTACATTGGTTTTCTACTGCCCCAAAATCCAGAGGTGAGTCAGTGGAGTTCATTTTTTAATTGCTTCATGGGTTTCATTCTATTTTCAACTAGCTTCCAGGTGAAATATTTTTAAAAATCATTTTAATCATTAAAAATATTCAGAAGATCCCAGCACTTTGGGAGGCCGAAGTGGGCAGATCACGAGTTCAGGAGATGGAGACGACCATCCTGGCTAACACGGTAAAACCCCGTCTCTACTAAAAATACAAAAAAAAAATTAGCTGGGCATGGTGGTGGGTGCCTGTAGTCCCAGCTACTCTGGAGGCTGAGGCAGGAGAATGGCGTGAACCTGGGAGGTGGAGCTTGCAGTGAGCCGAGATTGCACCACTGCACTCCAGCCTGGGTGACAGAGCGAGACTCTGTCTCAAAATAAATAAATTAATAAATATTCAGAAGAAGAAATTCTACAAAGCTTAGTAATGAGCCATTTAGTTATTAGGACAAAATCGGATGCTGAGTCTTTATGCTTTAGTGTTTCATCCAGCTTGAGGTTGGGTTACCCATGATCCTCATGGCACTTCATCCTGCCCACGCACTCGGCAGCATCCACACATATCTTGTGTTGCTGATATGGTTTGGCTGTGTCCCCACCCAAATCTCATCTGGAATTGTAGCTCCCATAATTCCCATGTGTCATGGTAGGGACCCAGCAGGAGGTAACTGAATCATGGGGGTGGGTCTTTCCCGTGCTGTTCTCATGGTAGTGAATAAGTCTCATGAGATCTGATGGTTTTATAAATGGGAGTTCCTCTGCACAAGCTCGCTCCTGCCCACTGCCATGTAAGAAGTGCCTTAGATTTTCCTTCATCTTCTGCCATGACTGTGAGGCCTCCCCAACCATGCAGAACTGTGAGTCAGTTAAACCTCTTTCCTTTATAAATTACCCAGTCTTGGGTATGTCTTTATTAGTTGTATGAGAACAGACTAATACAGTTGCCTTCCACAACATCACACTCTTCTGGCTTTTCACCTTCCACCCCAGTTGCTTTTTTTCAGTTTCCTCTGCAAGGTTCTCCTCCATATCTCTAAACACTGCCTTCAACTTTGCTGTCCCCACCCTAAACTTTGTCAGTGATGACCTCCTGTAATGCACATCTTAAGAAGCCAAACAACTGTTCCTTGGGGCTGCTCCTGGGACCTCTTCGCTTCTCATGTGTCCTTTCTCTGTTGACCTCGTCCTCCCACAAGCTTTTATATGTTATTTATATGTGAATAGCTCAGATACATATCATTTCAGTCCAGTTCTCTATTCTGAGCTCCGGATCAATACAGCCAAGATCAACATCTCTATTTTGATGACTCACATACCAAGGTTAGTATGCCCAAAATATAACTCTTGTACCACAACCCTCCAAACAACAAAACAAAGAAACAAACAAAAATGTGTTCTAATGATCTCATCATCAGTATGGAATCATGCCATACCACCAGTCTCCCATGCCCCAGTCTGGGGAGTTATCATCAAAATCTTCCTCTCCCTCCAGTCTTACCTCTAATCAAATCTACCTTCACAATCTGGATAAGATGTACCATGCTTGTATCCCCTACCAGCCACCTTCCCAGACAAAGACAACATTATTGCTTGCCTGGATTATTGCAAAAATCTCCTACTGGGTCTCTCATACAGTCCTGCCCTTCTCCATCCTTCCTTTCTCTGTAGCCAGGCCGATAATGCTCCTGTCTGCTTAGAAAGATAATTCTAATAATTTTCCATTGCTGTGTGAAAGAGGTCAAAATAGTCTGTGTGATTTCCAAAGCTCTTCTAAGACCAAGACCAAAGATCACCAACAACTCCTCTTCCTATCCCCTTTATGCCCTTCCACTTGCTCTCTCACTTCAAATCTCTGTTTCTCAAACATGACAAGATCCTTGCTGCCTCAAGATTTTTGCTCAAACTCTTCTCTTTACCTAGACCCTTCCTGCTTGTCATGTCCCCAAGCTTCCACCATCTGCCACACTCCTACCCATGTTTTTAGTCTTAGCTAAGGAGTCCTTTTTCAGGAGACTTCCCTAGACTTCTGCACTCAGCTGAAATGTCCTACTGTAGGAGCTCATGGTACCCTGTCCTTTTCTTTCAATCATTTATCCTCATTGCAATCACAGTAACTGGGTGATTTATGATGCATTGCCTTTCTGTCTCTCTCAATAGATTGGAAGGTTCATGAGGCTGGGATACTTAGGATTTTCTTTACTCCTATATCTTTGGTGACTAAAACAGAACCTAGCACATAGTAAGTACTCAATAAATACTTGAGGAGTAAATCGATAAATGAATGAATGCATCACAAAGAAAGTGATTTGTTCATTATTTTTCTGCTTTCATTCTATTATACATCCAAACCATCCATCTCTTTTTATCCTCCAAATGTAGACACAGAATAATGACAGGAAATGGAAAGTGGTAGCTTATTTGGAAATGTTCCCACACTCAGGATTGGTGCTACTAAGCAAGGTTATTTTAGAGAAGCATAAGTATATTACTCTCCTCTTCTCTAGGGTTGGCAAAGGATTCTTCATTTCTGCTATTCACGTGCCTATATGACAGAATAATACCAAGACAATGCCCTTAGTATTATGAGGAAAGAAAACATCCTGGCTCTGCCACTAACCAGCTCTGAGACTACACGTGAGTCATTTAATAGCGCTACATCCTAATCTTTCTTCTATGAAGGAAAAAGACAGTCCTGCTGATCCCGTGTCTTGAGATGCTTCACAACAAAGTTTTGTAAGAGCAAAGGGAATGATGAATAGGGGAGATAAAATGCTATCCATCCCACACAAATGAGAAAAGAGTCAAAAGCCACAGACATGCTTGCTGGCTACTCAAATAATGCTGATGTATTGTTCTTGGGGGAAAGTACTAAACATGAAAGGACTTTAAGTAAAATACATTCAGAGAGCAAAATATATCAATCCTGCCTAAAAGGGCAGGATCTTTGCCAATGAAGTGCTGTCTTTTTGAACAAGAGAAAAAAAACAAAACAAAACAAAACAAAAAACTAAGATCTTGACCAGTATAACTACGAAAAGAAATCGATCTCTCAAGAGTAAGAGTCTGAACTCAGGTCTTTAGCCAATTGTTTGAAATGTACCTGCTCAAAAAAATTCCAACTGGGGCAGGCTATTCCTCAAATTGCCTTCTAAGTTATTACACATAATTTGTTGTCTGTACCTGAACTGCCTTTTGCACTCCAGAGAGAATATCATTTTCAGGGTTTCAGCTACTAAAGAATGCCATTGGCCAGGGAGCTTGAGGAACTCATGCAGTCACTTTCTAAAGAAATGAAACTACTGTAAAAATGTGTGCTCACACAATAGTGGTATTATTTGCATGCAGCAGTCTAGAACAAACCACTTTCACATGTATTATCTCATTTATTAATACCCTGTATTCTTTTCTGTTTTACAATCAGGAAACTAAATAAATCAATTAATTTGTCTAAAATTATATACTTTGTACATATCAAGGCCAAGATCCCCATCGAAGTCTGTGTACTTTCTACCATACCCTTCATTTCTCCAGTAACAATGGACAATGCCTGAAGAGTTTAAATGTCTTAAAAGTTATTTCCTTAAAATAGTAGTCAGTGGGTGAAAATAATTCAAATGCTTTACCTCATGTCATCTGTTCTTTATTTAAAGCCATCAGTAATGGAAGACACTCTTGCCTCTTAAGGGAATGATATAATTTCTCCTTTGGTTTAGCATAATACCTTTACAGGCTACTTGGGAACAAGGCAAGGTGTCAAAGGCACAGCATATACACAAAAAATCAATGGCCTTACACTAACTTGGAAGAAGCAGGATATGATGGTTAATTTTATGTGTCAAGTTGACTAAGCAGCAGGCTGACCAAATACCTGATCAAACGTTTGTTTCTGGGGATGTGTGTGAAGTTATTTCTGGAAGACATTATCATTTGAATTGTGGACTGAGTAAAGTAGATGACCCTCCTCAATGTAGTCAGGCCTCACGTAATCTGTTGAGGGCCTAAAAGCAAGAAAAATGCAGAGGAAGGTTGGATTCCCACTCCCTCTGCCTTAGTGCTTGAGCCGGGACATCTATATTCTCCTGCCTGTGATGCTCCTGGTTCTAAAGTCTTCAGACTCGGACTGGCCTTAATACCATCACGTCTCTGGCTCCCAGACCTACAAACTACACCACCAACTCTTCTGGTTCTACAGGTCACAGACAGCAGACCGTGGGACTTAGCCTCCATAATCATGTGAGCCAACATCTTATAATAAATTTTTTTTCTAGAAAGATATTTCTTACAAGGTATTGCCTATACAACAGCTGACTCTTGAACAACACAGATGTTAGGAATGGCAAGCCCCCATGCAGTCAAAAATCCACATATAACTTTTGATTCCCCCAAAACTTAACTACTAATAGCCTGCTATTGACCAGAAGCCTTACCAATAACATAAAAAGTTGATTAATACATATTTTGTATACGTATTTCATTCTATATTCTTGCAATAAAATAGGCTAAAGGAAAGAAATGCTATTAAAAAATCATAAGGAAGAGAAAATACATTTACCATTCATTAAGTCAAAGTGTGCCAACATAAAGGTTCTCATCCTCATTGACTTCATTCTGAGCAGGCTGAGGCAGAGGAAGAAGAGGAGGGGTTGGTCTTGCTGTCTTAGGGGTTGGTAGAGGTGGAAGACATTCCAAATACAACTAGACTCACAATGTTCAAACCCATGCTGTTCAAGGGTCAACTGTGTATATATATAATATCTATATTATATATAGATATATACAATATATATGTATAATGTATACACCCAATGAGATTAATCATTGTCATGGTTTGGATATCATTTGTCCCCACCAAAACTCATGTTGAAATTTGGTCCCCAACATGGAGGTACTGGGGTGTGGGCCTAGTGGGAGATGTTTGAGTCATGGGGGTAGATCCCTCAGGATTGGCTTTGTTCCATTCTCGAGGTGATGAATGAGTTCTTGCCCCTGTGAGACTAGATTACTTCTCACAGTAACAGGTTGGTTCCCAGGAGAGGCAGTTGTTATAAAGCAAGGTTCCTCCTCCTGTCCCTCTTTGCATGGGTCTACTCCTCCTTTGACCTCCCACCATATGATGCTACACAAAAGCCTTCACCAGAAGCCAAACAGGTGTCAGCATCATGCGCATTGAACTTCCCAGCATGAAGAACTGTGAGCTAAATAAACCTCTTATTTATAAACTAACCAGTCTCTGGTATTATGTTACAGCAACACAAAATGGACTAACACAATGATATATTGTATTGGTTATAAGTCCTATTGGTTCTGTTTCTCTGGAGAACCCTGAGAAACACATAGAATATAGAGCCACCTGTCCATACACCTGCACATTCATCTCTGGTGGGAGTACCACATGGGAGATGGGGTCTCAGACAGTAATTTTTGAACCTCAAAGAAGCAACACTCCCTAGTTTATATCTGGCTTATAATTATGATATAATCCTCATGCATACTAAATTCATTGCAAGGGCTAAACCTTGCAATAAAACTTTTGTTCTACACATTCTGACAATGGGAACCATGTGCCTAGGAAGCACTTCATCCAAGCTATAGTCTTTGCTCTGTCACTCAATTTTGTTCTGACCATGAGTAAGTCCCTTCGTGACTTGGGACCTCAGTCTCCTAATCAGAAAAGGGAGTTGGATAAGAGTGCTCTTACAAACTCCTACATTCTCTCCACTTTTTTCTGCATGACCCTAGGTTTTTAGAAGCTGGGTAATGACTAACTACTATTGGAAAATGGGCTTATTCATTTGCTATGTATTCTGTCGGGCTCTCCTCTCAAATTATACTTTGGAGAGAGGAGTATGTGTATGGAGGGGGGAGGTATTTGTTTATTCATTCAATAAATATTTATTGAGTAGTACCTACAAGAAGTCATACACTTGATCGAGGTCTAGGGACAGAACAGTGAATAAGACTGACATGGTCCTTTTCTAATAAAGTTTACATTCCATGAGGGAGATAAACAATAAAGAAATAATACAATAGAAAACAGAGAGTGATTATGGCTATAAAGAAAATCAAAGGAGAGCAAAGAGATTGGGAGTAATAGGGACCCTGTGGCTTTTGACAGGGTGATCAGAGAAGAAGTCTGCGAAAAAAGTCTCATTCTAGAAGAGGCCTGAATAAAGTTAGAGAATGAGCTATGAAAATATCTGGACTGTCACTTTTACTAAAAATAAATTTTTCATAAACATCTTAAGAGAATTAGTAATAGCTTTTCTTATAGTTTACAGAAAATCCTGGTTGAGGCGAAGAGTTTCTCTACTAAAAAGTTAATGAAAAAGGTTTTATAATGTACAGTAGTTCAGGTCTCTTTTGTAAAAAGTGGCAGAAAGATGGTTTTTACACCATTAACAATAGATTCAACAAAAATGTATTATGTGCCTAAAATGTTTAACTAAATATAGTCCATACAATATTTGGCTTAACGGCCTTAGCAGGCATATCCCCGTGGGGCTCTGGTAGGGAAAAGTCCAGGGGCATTGCATAGAGAGGATAAGGGAACCCAGGAATAGCTGAATGATTTGCCCCTGGAATCCCAAACAGGACATTTCTCTTCCCTGTAAAACCCTGGGGTTTTACAGCTTTTCCCCAGGGACACAGCGCCTGACCCTGCAAGTGTGTGTCCCCCTACAGTGAGACCAAGACCACACCAAGGCAGGCAGATTTGATAAAGCTCTAGGTGGTTCCAGCATCACACAGCCAGTCATTTACATTGTTCAAGCAGGTAGCCAGCATTTGTGGAACACACTGAAGGGAAGCAGGCCTACTATCGTCATTAGTGGATATCAGGATTGAGGACTTTCATACAGCATTTCAAACAAGTTTATTAGAAAATATCATGAACTTTTAGCCAACCCTATGCCCTGAAGCAAGAAGCAAGAAATGAGGCATCTCAGTGTAGGTGGTGTGGAATGGAGGCAGGGAAAGGCCTCCAAAAGTTGATCATTGGAACAGTAAAGAGCTGTCATTCATTCCTTGGACAGATACTGGAACCCGCTGTACAGCATTATAAACTACTGAGCTAGCAAACCCTCCCAGGCGGCATTATGTTTCGGTACTGGAGCTGAGTGAAATCTACCTTACTGTTTTTTGTTTTTAACAAAATAGCTTTATTGAAATAAAATTCATATAATATAAAATTCACTTATTTAGAATATACAATTCAATTGCTTTTAGTTTACTTCCAGAGTTGCGTGATCATCACCACAATCTAATTTTAAAATATTTCTATCACTCCAAAAAAAAACTCGTTATCTATTAGCAGCAACTCCATCCTACCACCAGGCCCCACTCCAGCCTAAGGCAACCACTAATCTACCTGTCTCTACAGATTTACCTATTCAGGGATACTTCAGGTAAATGGAATCATATAATATGTGGTCATTTGTGACTAGCTTCATTCACTTAGCATGATGTTTTCAAGGTTCATCTATGTTGTGACCTGGATCCACGCTTCATTTCTTTGTATTGCCAAATAATAGACTATTTTATGGACATACTGCATTTTGTTCATCTATTTATCAGTTGATAGATATTTGAGTTCTTTGTACTTTCTGGCTATTATGAATAATGTTACTATGAACATTTGTGCATGTTTTTGCACAGGCATATGTCTTCATTTGTCTTGGATATGTACTCCTAGGAGTGGATTGCTGGGTGATACGGTAACTCCAGTTTAACTATTTAAGGAATTACCACGGTGTTTTCCAAAATGCCAATACCATTTTACCTTCCCACCAGCAGTGTTTGGGGGTTTCACTTTCTACACATCCTCACCAACACTTGTTATTATCTGTCTTTTTCATTCAAGTGGGTATAAAGGAGTACCTCATGGTAGTTTTGATTTGCATCTCCCTAATGGCTAAAGATGTTCATCATCTTTTCATATGCTTATTGACCCTTTGTATATGTTCTTGGGCAAAATGTCTTTTTAAATCATTTGCACATTTATTAGTTGGTTCTTTTTTTATTATTCAGTTGTAAGATTTCCTTATATATTCTGGATACAAGTTCCTTATTAGCTACATTATTTGCAAATATTTTCTTCAATATTTTAGTGCACAAAGTAGGCTAATGCTGGGTAATGAACCTGCTTTAGGGAAGGCTGTCTTGGCAGGTCAGAGCACTGTTAGGTTCTGCTATATGTTAAAATATGGCGAGACTGGAAGGCAGCACGAGAGACCTTCTCTGTATGTGTTTGATAAATTAAAACCTGAGGCAAAAACAAAGTAGAATGAAATGTTTACTCTTCAGGCATCATGCTGAGTTAATTTTATTATTTTCTTTTTGACCTAACAAGGAGTTTCAAAAGGGAAGTTAGGGGTTTTGTTTTTGTTGGTAGCTGCATTAGATGGATATTAGCCAATCTCTTTTCCTCATCATACTTTATCCATCTGTCCTGCCTTCCCACAACCTGGGATAACTCCATTTTATTGCTGTGTTGTCTCTTCCAACTTCTCCAAGGCAACTGGCATTTTCCCTATTTTGGGTAAAGAAAACTAAAAAAAAAGTTAGAGGAAAGAGAAAATGAAAATAACACTAAGAGGTTATCTTAATGTTGTAAACAGTTATAAACAAGAAAGAACTGAGATTATATCTGTGGCAATAAAATCAGATAGTACCACCCTCAGTTCTCCCTAATCACAAATTAAAGTCTTTTTCTCACACTTCATATTTGCCTTTATTCTACTCAACAGACCTTGAAAATGGGATTCAGTAACAATGTTTCACATCCTTGGACATATTTCTCACTGATATTTGACCTGCTGTTCAAAAAGAAAAAAAAAACTTTAAGTCAAAATTTAGTCTGAACTCTATTCAATTTATTTTTTAATGAGAAGACTAAATTAAATATTCTCAGTTCAAATTATATTGTGCTAGTTTGTAACAGAGTCTGGGTGGACAAGTGACCCCTGAATGCATTTCTACTACCTGTTGACTAACAAGTCCTTAACCAGCAAAAGAATCTTATTCACTGTGTATCTCCCTATTCTGAGCTACAATTCTAAAACTGTCCCGAATTAGATGTCTTTATTTTCCTCTGGTCAATTTCATATTTGAACTTAAGGCTAAATGTCTATACGTGTGTGAGTGTGTGTCTGTTGGTATGCAACAATGAAATGTGTATGACTATTTACCAATATCGAGGTCCTATTCCAGGTATCAGGATGATCAGACTTTACTCTTTCAAGTTAGCTTTCGCTGCAAGACTTGCTCTGGCCAATAAAACTGAGCAAAAATGATGTGTGTCTCATTTTTGCTATAGTGTTGAAGAATCCATGTGTGGGCCTCCATGGTTTTCCCCACTGTTACTGAATTCTATGACATTCTAAATGGAAGAGGCTTCATCAGCTTGGGTCTCAGAGTAGAAATGACATGAATCAGAGCCCTCCAGCAATGAGTATGTGGTATGAGTAAGAAATAAACCTTTATTGTTTTTGGTTACAGACATTTGGGGATGTTTGTTACTGCAGCATAACATTCCACCTAACTAATTCAAGTAGCCAAAAAAAAAAAAAACCTGCTTTTATTTTCAGTCCTGTTCTTCCTCAACATACTTAAAAGTTCTTCTCTATTAATTATTGACGCAACTAACAACCCAAATCCAATTTGGTCAGACCATGTTGCAGAATCTGCTGCTTGGAACATGACAAAAACATCAAGAAAAAACTGTTCAGATTACAGAGTTTACTACACTGAAGTACATAAATGTCTTCCTCCCTCCTTGTCCTCCTGTGTCCTAGTACATTCATTGGAGTTTCACATTCATACAAATAAAATAAAAGATGAGGATACACGGTTTTGCTGAAAATCTTCCCATTCCTTAAAGTTTTTAATATGGAACATTGCATGTTTTTCATACTTGATATGAACACTTCATGCACATTTTCCCACGTGCAATGCATGCTTGTGGGAGCCTAGCCTTCATGCAGGCAGCTGGTGTACCACAGAAGGCTTTCTCCATTGAAGAAAATTGAGCATGTTGAGCAAATATGAAGCTTCTGTTTCTCGGCAACAAAGTTCCTGCTTAGGTTCTGGAATAGCTATGGATTGTACATTCCTCAGGTGCTACTTAGAGAGCAATAGAGGATAATCCACCTCTAATGTGTTTACCAGGTCAATTCTCTGCATAGTTATACAGCCTAATTTCTCCTTGAAGCCATCCCGCAAAGATCCTAAAATGTGACTACATCACGAGTTTGCAACACTCCCAGAAAGAGCCACACCACTTGCCAGATGCAACAGTAAATGCCTCTTTAAAAACACAAAAACAAAAAAGTTTTCATTAAAAGATGCTCCTGCCCAAATTTCCTATGAAATAATGATGCTGCAGTCCCAAAGGAGGTAGGCTTTTGGAGAAAGAGGAATTCTTAAAAATGCATTTGGAGCCAAGGCACTGAGTTTTTCCCATTGTGCTACACAAAAAAGACAGGTCTGGAGGTAATTTAACAAGTTTAAATTACCATTTGGAAAGTAATAAGCTTTGGCTCCTGAGATGTGCAACCAACTGGGAATGGTCTGGCAAAAAAAAAAACCCTGTGTATTACACATTTCTCAGCTAAGTCCCAGACTCACATGCAACACTTAGCTTTTAGGAGATAATATGTGAATTAATGACTCTTCATGCATGGTTTAGGAACCCGAAATCACTAAAATGGCTGCCTGTGAGATAAATAACCTTTCCTCCATCATGTAAAATACTGATAAAGGGATTTAATGTATACTCTGATTCTTAAACATGATTCAGAAGAGAGTACATACAAATAAAAACAGCAGCATTTTCAGAGCATCATCAATTTTGTAAATTTCTTCGTACCTTTGCTCAAATTTGATCAAAGTGAATTTCTTCACATAATCCCAGTCAGCTAGCCACAAGCCATGTCACCTCATGTGTACACTTGTCTATTTCATTGTTTTATTAGTCAGAGAAGGCTAACTTCTTTCACACTTACCTCAACATTTTAGTGGCTTAACACAATCTAAGTTTACTACTTGCTCATGCAACACTCTAATAAGGCGAAGCTTTCTGGTCAGGCTCCTCCAAGCAGGAAGTCAAGAACCAAGGCTTCTCCCAGTCTGTGGCTCCGCCATTCCCCAAGTCCTCAAAGCCCTGTCTATTTGGATGCCAGCGGGGAGAGAGAATAAAAGGCCATCAGCACAGTTAATGGGCCTCGCTTGGACTAGGAATTCACCACTCTGCCCACATTTCATTGCTCAGATCTCAATCATTTAGGACACCCAAATGCCAAGGACAAAGTAGGAAATGTTGTTAAGCTGTGTGTCCAGGAGGAAAGGGGAAAGAATTTGGGGACTCCCCCTCTCTCTTGCTGGCTGGGACATAACCTCTCTGTTTTCTGTTCTGCAAAGTGGGCCTAATAATTGTATCTACTTATGATTATTCCTACTACATTTTTTTCAGGGATCCAAAACTGGCCACACTGAGAATTGACTTGAATTGTAAGAGACCTGTGAATCAGCAAGATTGCCGGTTTATTTCCAGTAGAGGCTATAAACTTATCGGCCACCAGCTAGGACATCTTGTTTTTGACTCAAGCTGTGTAAACTGCCATACAAGCCATCAGAAGGTGATATTCTGAGTAGAGGGGATCAGAGAAAAGGACATAGGACAGCCTGAAGGGGTGCTTTTTCTCTAGACCAAGTGACCAAGGTTTCTAAGCCTTGTCACTACCGACATTTTGGGCTAAATCATTCTTTGTGGCACGGCCTTCCCATGAATCAGAGGTTGTACAGTGGCATCCCCGGCCTCCACCCACTAGATGCCATTAATACTTCCCCAGTTGTGATGAACAAAAATGTCTCCAGACATTGCCAAATGTTGCAGAGGGACTAAAGCACACTCTTCTCCACTTGATAGCTACAGTTCTAGATCACGAAAAAGAATAATGAACTATTTGACTGGAAAACACCTATATGCAGAGACAGTGCCTGTCTGTAGGTGTTCCTATCTGTCTGTCTGTCTCTCTCTCTCAGGCAGTGCTGGGAAAACTGCCAAATACCTGCTCTTTGGCTTCCCTTTGTCCAGCCACCATGCAGCTCATCTTCCTCAAGAACATTTGCTTCCTTCAGCTGTGCAGATGCTGCTGATGGAGCTACAAGCCCTTTGTGTGCAGGGAGATGGCAGGGCTGTGTGTGTCTCCCATTCCCCCAGGGCATTTTCCTTACGAGATTTTAGGGGGAAATTACTAAACAAGCCTTCAAGCAAAGGTAAATGGATTGGGATTTTGTACCAGAGTCCCCCAAACTTCAAGTGCTCTCAACAGCTAAAGGTATTTCCAGGGAGGCAGGAAAAAAGATGACATTTGCAACCTCTCAGAAGGCACTTATTCCAAGTATAATCCAATTTAGAAAGTGCATTTGCTTTAAACTTCCTCTAAAAACCTAAATAGAAAAAATATTTCTAAATCTTGGTCCAAATAGTGACACTGCCTTTTCTCCCTCCAACTAGCTGTTGTATTCCAGTAATTAGGGAAAGGCTCTCTGATGTGGGTATAACTGTATAAAACTCCAAGCGTTTCAAGTTGAAATGTACAAATGGACTTATTTATGACTTTTGTTGCTTTGATACGAAAACAAAACTGTTCAAAGCCAAAGGTTTTTTTAATTTGAATATAGTCGACTTACACCAGATAACAACACTTGAAAAAACTAAGCTATTTAATGAATATTAGACAAACGCTATACAAAGAACCATGAGGATTTCTTCATTCCAATTTATTTTTAAGCTAAAAAAAATCTAAAAAATAAACAAGCTAACCACCATGCATTGAATGTCTATTATTTCTCAGGGCATTTATGTTCATTTTCTGTAATCCTTATTTATTCCCTGTAAAATTGGTATTCTTATCATAAAGAGATGAATAAATTAATGGGTAAAAAAATAGAAAGAGTAAAAAAGACCCACAATTTGATACCACGACAGGATGACTATAGTCAATACTAACTGAATCGTACATTTTAAAATACAGAGTGCAATTGGATTGTTTGCAACTCAAAGGATAAATGCTCGAGGGGATGGATACCCCATTCTCCATGATGTACTTATTTCACATTGCATGCCTGTATCAAAACATCTCATGTACCCCATACATATACACACCTATTATATACCCACAAAAATTTAATAAATAAATAAATAACGAGATAAATAAATTGAGGCTTAGAGAGACTGAACCATTTGCCCTGAGGCACACAACTGTGTACAGCTTGGTGAATACAGAATCAGGACTTGAGCCCAAGCCCCGCTGTCTCCAAAGCCTACCACACTTGTGCTAGTTTCCCACCAGGCTGTGATGCCTCCTTAAGAGACTCATTTAAAACCCCATCTCTACTAAAAATACAAAAAATTAACCGGGCATGGTGGCGGGCGCCTGTAGTCCCAGCTACTCGGGAGGCTGAGGCAGGAGAATGGCATGAACCCGGGAGGCAGAACTTGCAGTGAGCCGAGATTGCGCCACTGCACCCCAGCCTGGGCAACAGAGCAAGACTCCATCTCAAAAAAAAAAAAAAAAAGAGAGAGAGAGGCTCATTTATTGCAAATTCCATATCAGCAATCACAGCTACTTTTACACACCCAAACCTAAATGTGACTATGGTAATAAGTATCTTAATTTTCATTTCATTGCCTGGCAGTTCTCCTCAACTGGATAACATATTGGGCTCTGGATAACTATATTAAACTGAATCCAAATTGCTTAGAAAGCATTTATCATTACTATCTCAGAAGAGTAGTTATGCACAAGTATGATCAAGAAGCACATTTCTAGCAACAATCTATTTGTCCCTTTTCCCCCCATATTAGTCATGGTTTCTTCCCTAAGATGAGCAGAGAGAACCAAACTAGATGTTTCTCTTGCTCATGTACACTGGGCAGGGGCTGACTGCATGAGCTAACAAGGGAGGTGGCTCCTCCGGAGACTAGCACCCACGGCTTCTAGTCGTGTTCACATTCGTTATAATGAAAATCTGTCCTGCTGCCCAGTGGGTTCAAGTAACCATGGCAACTTACCAGCAACATCGCTCACACAAATTATAGCAAAGAAGCTATGACCAGCTCCACCCAGAAACTGAAACGGTCACACCAAGAAAGAAACATTTCTCAAGGACACTTAGCTCTTAAAGAGCCATTGGCAACCCTGTACTTGTTCAGCTTTATCACCAGAATAAATCTCAGCTCGCTTTTACTGAACAGCGTTAAAAGCTGTTACACATAATACACTTGAACTTTGGTTGTAATTAAACTGGTGAATCACAACTTTGACTAACTCTCTGTGTCACAAAGAGCATTGATAAGGAGTTGTCTGGAGAGCCAGACAGCCCTCAGCCCACCTGGAATGCTGCAGACACCCGTCCTTGCATTCTCAGGGCAGGCAGAACTTTCACTGCAGAACGTGCAAGTCCCAGCGCTTCTCAGAGACCAGAAGCTTGGCGCAAAGTGATGCCTGGGGGACAGTGACAGCAAGAAAAGGAAACTCTGCCTTTCTGGAAAGTTCTGAGTTTACTTTTTTAAAGAAAACATAGAAAAGTCTTTAAATAAATTATTTTTTAAAACTACCACATGAGAGATAGGAAAAGATCATTTGTTGAGTGGTGATTTGAACAGCCACTGAGGGATGTGGCGGAGCAAGTTAATGAGGAAACTCGTAGGCTTGTCAGGCAGTTTCATGGGTCTAGTTGAAGCTGGTGACTATGAATTTAGAGGCTCGTCAAAGTTCTCAATCCATGTCTGTTCACCTCCCCCACTAGACTGTGTTCCTGGAGGGCTTAATTCATCTTGCGTCATCAGCACCTAGCTCGGCTCTGATACAAAGCAGATGCCCCCAGTGTTAGCTAAACTCAGTGGCAACGTCTGCAATGTCTGATGGGTTATTTCCTGGGTCTGCCAGAAATGAAGTTTATTTTCTCACAGTTCTGGAGGCTAGAAATCCAAGCTCAAGGTGTTGGCAGGCCAGGGCTAGGGAAAAACCTGTTCTGGGCCTCTCTCAGAGCTCCTGGCAGTTACTGGCCTGTAGCTGTGTAACTCCAATCTTCACATGATGGCATTCTCCCTGGGTGCACGCCTGTGCCCAAATTTCCACTTTTTATAAAGATACCCACCATATCGGATCAAGGTCGCTCCCTACTCCAATATGACCTCATCTTAACTTAATTATATCTTCAGTTACTCTATTTCCAAATATGCTCACATTCTGAGGTACTGAGGGTTAAGACTTCAATTCTGAGGGGTCACGATACAGCCTATAACATCGGAGCATAAACACTTTAAATAAATACTACATTTTTCTTTTCTTTTCTTTTCTTTTCTCTTTTCTTTTCTTCTCTTTTTTTTTTGAGACAGAGTCTCACTCTGTCTCCCAGGCTGGAGTGCAGTGTTGCGATCTCAGCTCACTGCAGCCTCCACCTCCCGGGTTCAAGCTATTCTCCTGCCTCAGCCTCCCAAGTAGCTGGGACTACAGGCATGTGCCACCACACCTGGCTAATTTTTGTATTTTTAGTAGAGATGGGGTTTTACCACATTGGCCAGGCAGGTGTCAAACTTCTGACCTCAGGTGATCCACCCATCTCAGCCTCCCGAAGTGCTGGGATTACAAGTGTGAGCCACCATGGCCAGCCACATTTTTCTATGAGAACAAAGTCATGTGAAAAGAGTAAAGAATCTCCACATGTGAAAATCACCATTTTGGCTAAAGTTTAGAAGTATTAATAATTAATTTCATAGCTTAGGCAAAATGTCCATTGTTCCAAAAGTCATCATCAAATATTCACACTAGATACGAATTTCAGTAATTAATCCTATTTGTAAATTAAAAACCAAGATTTCAGCTTGAATAAATGATGAAGATCAGCCAAGCAACGTTCACTTCTTAAAAGCGTTTGTTTTGTGAAAAATGCAACAAGACTCCGTCTCGGTGGAAAGATGTGCTAAATATTCATTTATCTCAATATCAGTCATTGTTAAACAACAGTGACATGAGGGTGGGCAGAAGATTAGTTATGATCTAGTACTATCATCCTTCTGTCTGGGAGCAAACCCTCTCTAGAGCAGGATTAAGCTATCTTAGAAAAGAGCAATGTAGACAGTAACAATCTTTATAGTTCTCGCATCTGGTTTCTTGAATATTCACTTCTTTGTTTCCAGGGACTCCAGATGATGGCACGTGGTAGAACCATCTCCTTTTAAAGGTATATAGACTGCTCACTTCTGGGAGATGGAAGGCTTAAAATTGGCTATAAGAAAGGAAGGATACACTTATTATCTCAGGGGATAAAGAATTAATAGACAAAGCCTTGTTCTATCTCCTTGGGGTCATGGCTCCAATGAGCTTCTGAGGACCACAACCATCTATGTTCCATGTGTGACATCAGGAAGAAGGGGTCCCCTTCAAGCTCTGGCTCCTTTGTACTTACAGGATGGGCTATCACGATCCCAGAGAAAACAGTCGACATTATAAAACTGCCTTTCGAACCACATGATTCAGCATAAGAACATGAGAGATCCAGCTTTCGGTGTCACTATCACTGCCGGCTTTTCTGGCCTTGAAACTGGCCAGAAGTCCTTCTGCTTATTACCGGCTTGGATTGCTAGAACTTCAAAACAAAGTTTCAAGTGCTAGAAATTCTTAGTTTCTCTCTCATACATACTATTTTGAATTTTATATGAATTAGCTTTTAGATTCAGGTTACAAATTAATCCAGGCTCATTATGTAATTAAATGTTTGATTAGGAGCATTAATTAACATATTACACAGAGGCATATAATTTTATGAGACAAACTCTTTAATTCCAATGAAGAGATTCACCATGGTAACAAATTATCTGACCCACCCAATTCAATATGTAATTCCAAATGATTTTTCAAATTAACTAAAAATGCTGTCATTATTAAATAGGTATATTACAATGTATGCACTGCACTGTAGAGATTTTTTTTAAATACTTAGGCGAAAGATGAGAGAATTCTAAATATGCTTTCATAAATACACAAAGTAAAGATCAAGGCTGAAATTTTGAAAAAGGATAAAAATGTTGACAATTTTGTTGTAGCCAATGCTTTGTGCTTTAATTTTTTTTTAACCTGGCGACATTAGGAAATGGTGCATTTCATGCATTTTTAATCTTTCTGTGTTATCTTGGTAAGATGGCTCCTGGCACTCTACCTGGAGACGGATTTATTTTGATTGCTAGACACAATCTGTATTAATCAATCCAAGGCCAAGTACAATTTAGTTTGCTACTTCAGGAGCTGGATGGTATGCAATTGTTCACAGCTGTTTCTAATTACACCTTGATCCGATAATAACTAAATATTGTTTAAAGTTCTGGCAGTGACTACTTAAGGAGATGTGCAAGATCAATAAAGGAAAGTAACACTTCCAGGCATAAGCCTGCATAAATTAGAACCTGTAGAAAACACAAACACAATTCAGTAGGTGGCACTATTCCCTCAGCCAGAACTCTCTTCATTCCCTGTGACTTGAGTAGTCCTCCTACGGCAATCACCTTTACCAATTTCTTCCACGGAATTCTGTGACCTAAATTAGTATCAACAGACTAACCTCAAATTTATTGCCTGGCTTCTTCCCTTTGAGATACACAACCCAGATGAAAACTATGTGAATTGCAGATGTAAGAGTACAGAAGTTTGATTTCATCTCAAATCCTTCGATAATTAGGTCAGCATATTGTTACAGGTTACCTGAAAGTAAATTAATTCTTCATGCCCAATATCGACAACTCAACTGATTTGACCTCTTCCATTGATATGAGCCAATGAGATAACTTAAAATATTTAAACCAGCCAATGAGCAGGTTTTTCAATCTCAGAATTATTGACATTTGAGCTGGACAATTCTTTTTTTTTTCTTTTTTTAATTATTATTATACTTTAAGTTTTAGGGTACATGTGCACAACGTGCAGGTTTGTTACATATGTATACATGTGCCATGTTGGTGTGTTGCACCCACTAACTCATCATTTAGCATTAGGTATATCTCCTAATGCTATCCCTCCCACCTCCCTGAGTTGGATAATTCTTAACTAGGGAGAGAAGGATACATTGTAAAAATTTTAAAATGCTGAGCAGCAGCCCTGGCCTCTGTCCACTAGAAGCTAGTATCACTTCCCTAGTGTGACAACCAAAAGTACCTCCAGACATTGCCAGATGTCCCCTGCGTGGGGACAAAATCATCCCATTTGAGAACCATCAGTCACCTAATGATCTTCCTTTATACTAAAGGCCGATCTCTGGCTTCATTGCCAAAGACTGAACTATTCCACTAGCATTCTTTCAATAACAATGTTTACTACCTGTGTTTTTTTTTTTTTTTTTTTTTGAGACAGAGTCTTGCACTGTCACCCAGGCTGGAGTGCAGTGGTGTGGTGTGATTTTGGCTCACTGCAACTTCTGCCTCCCAGGCTCAAGCAATTCTCCTGCCTCGGCCTCCCAAGTAGCTGGGGCTACAGGCGCCTGTCACCACTCCTGGCTTTTTTTTTTTTGTATTTTTAGTAGAGACAGGGTTTCACTATGCGGGCCAGGCTGGTCTCGAACTCCTGACCTCATGATCCGCCCACCTTGGCCTCCCAAAGTGCTGGGATTACAGGCATGAGCCACCACACCTGGCCACTGTTGTTATCTGATTCCAAAAGTTAAAGCGTGAACATTGTTGAAAAATGTTGAAGCTAAAAAAAGTACAAAGAAAAATAAAAGCCACCAGGAATGGTCCCATACTATGATAATAACTGTTCTAACTTCAAGGGTATCACCTTATTTTTTTTTGGCATAAAGATGAATGCAGAGTACATGTAATACTATTTGATTTATTAAAATCTTAGAGTCATGTGGCAGTATTAAGCATGATTTAATGACTATATAGTATTCTTTCCAAGAGATATGCCATACTTATTTTAGCTGATCTCTTATGTCAATATATTGAACTTTTCACCTGATCACAGGTTAATGTATATTACTTTTACTATGTCCGTGGGATAAATCCCCACAAATAGAAATTTTATGTACTAACCTATTTTAGTTCTGCCCTCACACAAAGGGAACATAAGAGAGAATGAAGAAACAAAGAAGAAAAACGAAGATGGGGAATAAAGAAGAGGAGAAAATAAGAGAGAGAAGGCAAAAATAAGAGGAGATGGGAAAGAGAAGAGGAGGGAAAGATGTGAGAAAGGAAGGAGGGAATGATGGAGGGAAGAAGTGGAAGGGTCTTGTCTCAGTAGAGGCTAATCTAGAAATGAACTTGACTGGCAAAGCCTCCACTTGCTTTTCTCTTGGGTTTTGCATCGTTCACGTGGTTTGTTCCCCCGCAGAGATGACAATGCTCTTGTCCACCATTCAGGGGGCATATGCTTCAAGTTATCGTCTTTCAATTCTTCCTGTGACTAGCATGCATTCGTGAAATGGCATGTAAAAGTAAAGTGAGAAACCTTGAAAGTATTATGCTAAGTGAAAAAAGCCAAACTCATGAGGCCATAAATTGCATAATTCCATATGTATGACATATCCAGAATAGGCAAATTCATAGAGACAGAATTACACTTACAGAAAAACAATGATACATCATAGCTGTGAAGTGAGAGCTATGGGGTCTGCAAATGTACACCCAGATAGACTATTGTATGAAAACAGTAGCATTCTCCCTGGGTGGCACTGATGCAAAGTATTGTATAGAAAGGTTCAGATAAAATTACAGTAAAACCTGAGGCTATAGAAAAACCACTGTTCAGTACATCCAGTTATCCAAAACAGCGCTGGACTGAGGGATGTGTGGATGGGGAGTGATGCACGGCATAAAAACATGTCATGTCCAGAAGGAACCTGGGGGCAGAAAAAAAGACTTGAAGCTAAGGACAGGCCATGTTTAAGAGGGGAGAAGAGCAATCATGTGACATGCAGAACTCAGATTATTAGCAACATGCTCAATTTGTGCTTGTTGATTAATTAATGGAATGAGGTCTGAAAACATGGTCAGTAAACATAGTAGGCAGTTTCTAAGATGGCTTCTGACAATGTTAGGGTGGCTCACCACCTAAAATCCACGCCTTTTTACTCTTGCCTTGAGTATAAGATGGATTTGGTTATGACTTGCTTCTAAGATGCCACTTCTAAGTTTAGGTTACAAAAAAACTCTGTTGTCTGTCTTGCTCACTCACTCTTGCTGTCTCACTTGCTTGCTCAGATGAAAGCCAACTGCCACGTTTTGAGTTGCTCCAGGAAAGGCTTTTGTGGTAAGGAACTGAGAAATCTCTGGCCAACAGGCAGCAAGAAGCTGAAACCATCAGTCCAACAACCTGAAAGGAATTGGGTCCCACCAACAATCACCTGAACGAGGTTAGAAATGGAGTCTCCTTCAGTTGAGCCTTCTGATGAGACCAATGCCCCAGCCAACAGCTTGACCACAACCTCAGGAGAGACCCCGAGACACAGGTGGTCAGATAACCTGAACTCAGATTACTGAACCACAGAAACTGAGAGATAATGTTTACTGTGTTAAGCCATTAATTTTGAGTTAATTTCTTATGCAACAATATGTAACTGGTACAACAGTGTTTTCTGGTATTTCACTGGTTACCAGACAAAGATAATTGTTTTAAAAGTGTAATTTTCCCCCTCTCAAACTTAGCCATACATTAATGCCTCTAAACAAGTTACCTACATATGAAAATAACTTCTGCTCTTTACTGAATTAAGGATAATGAACTGTTTACCCTCCATTAAAAATCAATTAAGGAACGGCACTTTCTCTCTTTGATTTCAATCTATTGACTAGTTATCCAGAACCTCAGGGACACAAATTGACAAAGGAAATTATTAGTGCTATGTCATCCCCTGAGAAAATTCAGACAAATCTTCTCTTGAAATTCTCTGCCCTCCTTTAACTTAAAACTATTCACAGCCGTAATGGACAACAGCACTGATGGAGAACACTAAGTAGCAGGTTCATATATTCTATGCCAATACTTACCACGTATCTTTATGGTAAACATGTTTCTCTTGGAGAAATGAGCCATAAACTAAAGTCTATGCAGCAGAAAAATCCAACTCCCTTAAGGCAAGGGGGTATTTCCTACTACTAAGCTTTACTTTGCTCATCATAATGCGGGAGAAATGCAAAGGGAAGATGAGAGACTATTTTTATTTTTTATACATTTAAGAACACTAATAAAATCAAGTTCATGATCTATTTTCTTTAATCACAAAATCTCTGCATACATTATCAGTTTCAAGTAAAATAAACCGCATTGAGGAATGCAGTTCTCTGATTCCTCATAAATAGCTGCTCTGCTTAATACATTTGAGAGGATCCCAGGAACAAAAGAGCAGAGAGAATAGAATGATTTCTGTCAAATGCGCTACACTCATTTGTATGAGTAAGTAGCTTAATTGTGACATGTGTGTTTTAACAAAAAGGACTTGAGGTCCTGAGTGTGGAAAATAGAGCATCCCTACTTATCCTTTTATCACTCTTTACCATAAAACATATTTAAGTTAATTTCTCACAGTAAAGATGACATTTATCTCTTACCATAGGACTAGCGTTTAATACTTACTACATTTCAAATCAAGGACACTAAATTCAATCTGATGTTTCCAATTAGATACTAATGGTTTCAATAAAATATTTCATGAATCAAGGCAAAGAAATGAACAAAGTCCTGAAGGCAGGTAATGCACTGTAAAGTAAATCAATCTCTAGGTGCTGAAAGACTTACAAAAATAAATAAAGTAACAATAAAGATAAGCAGACTCTTCTACTTAGAAGTGCACAGAATAGGTGAATTTATGTCAAATGCATCTGCTTCAATTATGCATGTAATTTAAGCTCCATAAACCAGCACTAAGAGTTATGCTTTCTGTAAATGAAGCACTTTGCTTGGCTAATTTTTAAACATACACACATCAAGGCCATTGAAAGCAGACTGAATGAACTCCCCATTGTTCTGTTTGAGACACTGGAATATTCACAAGAGAGACTGTGCAGATGACAAATAAACCCATCGACAGTTCCCTACGTAGAACAGGTGAAGATTTTGCTTTGTGCAGATGTTCAAAGAGGGCCAAATTAAAACAAAGGGGTATAGATTCCCTTCACACTACGTTCCCCAGAAAACACTGGACCCTTAGCTGGTAGAATGGAGAAACCACATTCCTAGAGAAAGGCAAACAAGTTCCTGGATCCCTAGGCGATAAATAACAGCAAATTTGCAGGTTCCACTGTCTGATATGCAGCCTTCACTGCCAAATCAGGGAGCAGACCCTGCCTTCTCTCCTGGACCCTCAGAAGGGGGAAGAAAACAGCAGTGATACTCACATCACCAGGTGTAAAAGCTAGCACATCTGCTGTAAAAACTGTGCTCTAAAAACACTCAGTGCTTATAAAAATTGTACTAAATTTTAACTCATGCAGTTTCCCTCTTCTATCTGTCCATCACCAAAATCTGATTGAAATCCCTGCTCTTCAATATAGGTACCGAGAACGTCTTGGAGAAGTCCCTGCGTTCCCTCTAGTACTCAGTAAAATACCCATTTGACTTGGGTGATCACTGAACCAAGCCTGGAAAAGAAACAAGATACCCAGTGGCCCAAGGTCTAATGTTCTACATTGTGGTCTCATGGTGTATAATGTATATGTATAAGGACTCCCTCCTCAGAAAAAATGGATCATATTTGTTGTAGACAGTAATTTTTTGGTTCTCCAGTGTTCATTCCCTCACTTCTTCATTCCCAACATATCTGATTTCCCTTTGGGAGTCCACATAGTTTGAGCAAACAGACCCCATGCCTGGCTCCATCACAGAAGAAACATCCCCAGCTAGTGTATTTCACTTCCTGGACCGAAATGATTTGTTTGGGGCTAGACAAGTTACTTAAACCCATCAAATCAAAGAACCATCAGTGCTTTTGCTGGACAGATGAGACATACGAATGTAGAAGGAGGAAAAAAAAATGGAAAGCGGGTGGGGAAAAGAGCACAGAGGGGTAATGGACAGGGGATGAAAGAAGTAAGAGAAAAGGGGTACTGAAGAAAAGAGAAATAAATAGAAAAAAATAGAAGAAAGAAAGAAAGAAAGAAAGAAAGAAAGAAAGAAAGAAAGAAAGAAAGAAAGAAAGAGAAAGAAAGAAAGAAAGAGAAAGAAAGAAAGAAAGAAAGAAAGAAAGAAAGAAAGAAAGAAAGAAAGAAAGAAAGAGAAAGAAAGAAAGAAAGAAAGAAAGAAAGAAAGCAAGCGAGCGAGCAAGCGAGCTTCCCTTGACCAAACACTCCCTTGGAATACATGTATTTTTAGTTTTGCTTCACCATGATAGGGCACTTAACCTGTCTTTAGCTACACTTAAAAGAAAGAAAAAGGGATACAGTGTCACAAATGGCACTTCCTTCACAGTGATGGCACAATCATGAATGAGTCAAATGCTGCAGCCTAAAGACAAACGACTACAGATTAATGAGCTAGATGAAGAATCTATCCTACAAATACAATGAAAATACATTTTGCCCCACCCACAGAATCTAAGATTTTCCATATTTCACACAGTGCTGATCTTAGCATCTTTATCCTCTAGGAACATGTGAACTCTTCTAGCTGTGAACTACTGAACAAGGAAAAAACAAACAACGAACAAAAAAGCCTCCTAAATCTGAATATCCCAGCACTGAGAAAGTCACTTTTCCTTTCTACAAAGAAATCTTGATCTACGAATGTAGAGTCTGCCCTAGCTAATGAACCATCTTGGCTATCATAACTGGCTGCTAGTTGTCAATAAATCTCAGACCGTGGCCAAAGCTACACAAGCTACATTTCATTTTAATGTCTTTAACATCCACACAAATGATGATGAGTTCTCTCCTTATCTCTCCCTTGATATAATAAGGAGGAACAGTCTCAGCACTGGAGGATTGGCCCAAGAATGAAGAAAGATAAATACCAGTTCTGCTCCTACACCTGTTTGCTAAGAATATCACTTGGTCTGATAGGTCTAGTTTTTCTCACCCTCCACATGGGGGCCAAGAGAGGATTTTGATCTTGATCAGGATATCTGACACCAGTCTATCATTTTCTCCTCCTGAAACAATAGCAGATATTCATGAATGAGCTTGGCATGCTTTTCTGCAAAGCCAAGAAGCAGCCTCCATGTCCTTAGCGTGGTACTCCAGGACCTCATCCCCAAAGTATGCTATGTCCACCCCGGAAGCTACATAATAGAATCACCTAGGTTGTGGACAGAATATATTAAAATTTCTATTTATAGTTATTTTTATCTTCAAAAATATGAAATAAATTCAGCGTTACTAATGCTTAATACATAGGCCGACACTGGAATCCTCCACCAATCCATTTGTCATATAATCAGTGTCACATACAGAATTAGAAGTATCCTAAGGGAGGGTGGGCATCCTATAGTGGGAAAGGAGTTGATGGGACACTTCACCTGCGGGATCACTCAGAGCTTTACAGTCCACATTCGCTCACTGCAGTGAAGTTATGGATTACAAATCTGGTTTTAATAAAATCCTGCTGACATTCCTACAAATAAATGACAGATTTAAGGTAATTAAAAGAGTGCACACACACACACACAAGAAAATGGTAGAGCTGATGTATTTCCTTCTCCTGGCATATGATCTTTTCTACCTTATTCTGGGGTGAAAACTGATGATCCAATTGCATCTGACAAGAAGTCAGCCAAACAATATTAAAACTATCAAAGCTATGTGAAATTCAGTTTTATATCCATTATTGTTAAAGAAGAGCCTGGCCTACACTAAGAGAAATCCATCATAATAACAAGATATACATACAATATTGTTTATTCCTAATGTAGCTCATGCCAACATTTCTACTTTATATTTGTTTTAAAATAGTCATAATAAACCCTATCTCTAAAAATATATATTTAATAATTAGTAACTATTACAGCGATTTAGCCTATGTATTAATACATTTATAATTATCAGTAGTGTTTCTTTTGTTTAAAGGGGTCTGTAATTTAAAAAGAAAAAATGAGTAGGGTTCCTAGTAGAGGATTTTACTGACCATGAACAAATAAACTATTTTTTTTTTTTGCATTGCCCTAATAGGTCTGCACATTTCCTTCCTTTGACTCTCTTTGTCTCAGACTGACTCTAGTATCTATGTGGCAGGATGACTTATCTTCCTCTCTGCTCTTTCTCTTCCAGAAGATGACCCTTGCTATGAAGCGGAAATAAAATTAGGGTTCTGTTGGCATAGTAACTATGAAGACACCACGTTTTTGCAACATAAAACTTTCTTTTTTAATCTTCAAGACTAAGGTCCATTTCTCCTATTGATGATTAATGCTGAGGATCCTGAAGCTCCCTTTCCCTGGAGCTCCTTCTACCTCCAAACCAGATGTTCCTGATAGACCAGGATTGTTGGGGATGGGGCTGCAAGGAAGGGCCAAGAAGTAAAAAAGACTTTAGGAAATCTCTGGAAGGAGAATAAAGAGGGGAGAACAGAAGAAAAGGGACTTTTATCCACAAGCAAGGTGGACTCTGAATGAGCTGTCTGGTAAGTAAGCACCTGTTTTGCACCACCTCATGAATAGACTAATAGGAAAGTGTTTCCATAATAGTGGATGGCACCACTCCTGCTCTAACACTTATTGCAGGCATACTAGGTGGAAACATGAGAATTCTAGCACTGCTCATAAGTGTCACGAAAACAACTCTTAAAGAGAATGCATTCATCAATCAATGTGGGGGGGGAACTAATTTCAGTGGGATTTTCAGCTTACAGGGTAACTTTCCTGGCTCCCAGGATGATGAATTTCATTTATCCTCATTACTTCCTGAGTAAATTATTTTATAATTCCTGGATTTGGCTTCTGAAGATGCCTGGTGACTCATAAATGCCAATCTGACTAATGTCTCATTTAGAGCACTCAGTACGCACAGAAGCCCAGACATCATTTCTCTTGCCAAGAAACGAATGTATATTTTCATTAAAAACAAAGAAATGAACAACTGGCACACCCAGGAACACATCTGCACCTGTTGTTACAGTGGTTTTTATATTCTACTAGCTGGATAGTCAGGAGCTGAAACACCCAGGGATGTAATGAAAAAAAAAATCCCCCTTCATATTTAAAAGAGGATTTTATGAAATTTTTATGACCCCGTGTTATTTATTGCCACTTTTTGGTCATATCTTATTTGTTACCATTTTCTCTATAGTTCATTGACCTCTACATTCAAACCTGGGGCGGGGGCTGTATTTGAATGGCAGTATTTTATTTATATAGTACTGCTCCCACAAAAAAGTTCGAAGTACTTTATAAATATCTCTTTAAACTTGAAAGTAACTTAAGTGTCACTGTCTTCATCTTAAATAAAGATACAAGAAAGGAAAGTTCAAATGGCTAAAATTAGCAAGTTAGAGAGGATTTAACAATCCAGAGAGGATTTCTGGGAAAAGATGGCAAATTGTCCTTCAATATGTATCGCCTCTCCTTCTCAAAGTCTACTAAATTGATCATAATGGAAAACATTCAGTCGTAAATGGAAAGGAAAAAATCAATGAGAGAGAAGACAGTAACATATCAGGGGTTTCAACCAAGATATGGCAGTTTTAGAAAGCCCACTGACTCTACATACCTAAGCTACATTTTCCTAAGCAAATTTATTTATGCAGCCAAAAAACACATGAAAAAATGCTCATCATCACTGGCCATCAGAGAAATGCAAATCAAAACCACAATGAGATAGCATCTCACGCCAGTTAGAATGGCAATCATTAAAAAGTCAGGAAACAACAGGTGCTGGAGAGGATGTGGAGACATGGGAACACTTTTACACTGTTGGTGGGACTGTAAACTAGTTCACCCCTTGTGGAAGTCAGTATGGCGATTCCTCAGGGATCTAGAACTAGAAATACCATTTGACCCAGCCATCCCATTACTGGGTATATACCCAAAGGACTATAAATCATGCTGCTATAAAGACACATGCACACGTATGTTTATTGTGGCACTATTCACAATAGCAAAGACTTGGAACCAACCCAAATGTCCAGCAATGATAGACTGGATTAAGAAAATGTGGCACATATACACCATGGAATACTATGCAGCCATAAAAAATGATGAGTTCATGTCCTTTGTAGGGACATGGATGAAATTGGAAATCATCATTCTCAGTAAACTATCACAAGAACAAAAAACCAAACACCGCATATTCTCACTTATAGGTGGGAATTGAACAATGAGAACACATGGACACAGGAAGGGGAACATCACACTCTGGGGACTGCTGTGGGGTAGGGGGAGGGGGGAGGGATAGCTTTAGGAGATATACCTAATGCTAAATGATGAGTTAATGGGTGCAGCACACCAGCATGGCACATGTATACATATGTAACTAACCTGCACATTGTGCACATGTACCCTAAAACTTAAAGTATAATAATAATAAAATTTTTTAAAAAACTGATATTTTGACCTAATCTACATTTATCATCTGTCCTTATATCTTAAATGGTTCCCAAATTAGGAGGGCAAGTCAGGATTTTCCTTAAGTTTGTTGAACTGTTAAGAAACAAGAGTCTCCAAATTAAAAAGGCCCACAACCATTAACTGGATGAAGTGGGTGAACATCCACACCAAGGCACGTAACCATAAAATTAAAGAGGACCAAAAACAAAAAGATCTTTAAAGCTTGCAAAGTGTTGAGGGATGATACGGTTTGGCTGTGTCCCCATCCAAATCTCATCTTGAATTGTAATCACCATGTGTCAAGGGAGGGACCTAGTGTGAGGTGACTGGATCATGGGGGCCGTTTCCCCCATACTGTTCTCGTGATAGTGAGTTCTCACAAGACCTGATGGTTTATAAGTGTGGCACTTCCCCAACCCCTGCTGCTATGTAAAATGTGCCTTGCTTCCCCTTCCCCTTCCGCCATGATTTTAAGTTTCCGGAGGCCTCCCCAGCTGTGTGGAACTGTGAGTCAATTAAACCCCTTTTCCTTACAAATTACCCAGTTTCAGGTAGTTCCTTATAGCAGTGTGAAAATGGACTAATACAGGGGGGAAAGTCACATACAAAAGAATATTAATATCTGAATCAAATAGGATCAGGTTCCTGAAATGTAACAAGGGATCATAGAAGTCAATGGTTAGTGCCTTCACAGTGCTTAGTAGAAATTAATTCCAGTCTACATTTCTATACCCAGCCAAAAGGTGAAAAGTTGAGAGTAAAATAAAGAAACTTTCAGATATAAAAGGCACACAATGTTTACTTCTGGGAGACGTGCTCCAGCATAACACAGGAGTAAAGCAAAAAAGGGGAAGAAAACAGAGGAGCATCCAACACAGCAGAGCAACAGAGAGAAGTCCCTAACTTACAGAAGGAGCGCAGCTGACCCAGAGACAGAGTCTACTCAGGAACAAGAGGACAAGGAACTCTCAGGGTGAGATCCCCAGGAGGAGATGAAGAATACACTATGTCATATAACCGGGTAGCTGGGGAACATATTGATAGTCATACGCCAAATTTGATAAAGCATTTGTGGAAAATTAAGTGTAGGTGTATATAAAACTATACAATTCTAAAAATATATATTCTAAATTGAACAATAAAGGAAATAAAAATTATGCTGCACTGATGGGCCCTTTAGTTATCACACAGATATTGAGTTCACTAAACTTTCAGAAGTAACTATACTAGCAAAACGGAGGAAAGAGAGTGAGTATAGTCATTATTGGCCTAAATCTACATCTACCAAAACAGAAAGCTAAAAAATATTATCTATCATAATGGGATAAAGTGTAGTGTTTGGATATGTAAAGGTAAACACAAGAAGAAACTGCCAAAATAAATAATTACGATCACTTCTTCAAGCAGGACTGAGGTGTGCAGAAGGGATGAAAGAGACAGCTAAAAATATTTTATGTTTAGTTTTTTTCACTGTTATTTGATGTTTTCATCTCTGCAAGTATTGCTTTGATACAATTTAAAACTCAAGGGAAAAAAATCACTTACAAGGAAAGTCTAGGTTTATATAAGATTACACTCACCGTCTATCTTGTTTAATGCTTTCGTACCTAAAGTATATTTTTTTCATTTAATAAACAATAAATTACACTACTCTTGGAGTAGCAGGTAGACTTGTTCTCACATTTGGTTCCCTCAGTACAGATTCCCCTAATGCAAAAGGTGAATAGAACATTGAAAATAAGAATGACATAACGAATGCTGAGTTTAAATATATGTATGTGTATATATATATATATATATATATATATATATATAAACTCGAGACAGCATTTTAAAAGTTAACATCTTATATTTAAGTATCATATTTGTATAAACCAGATTTTAGTTTTGAAGTTATTATAATCTTTGGAGAGTCTCTAAGAAGTTATACAATTTCCACTGGAAACCATAAGGCACATTATTAATGAATTTCTACCAACTTAATTAGTTTTCTGTGGAGTGTTTCTATGGTTGGCTAACAAATGAAGTCTACCATAGTGGAAATATATTTTATCCACAAAACCAACCCAGAAAAATATGTGGAATAATTAACCTTTTTTCTAGATAAATAAACCATAAATTCAGATAATAATTAAACTAAATTTTCAGAACTAAACCAACAAATTATTTCAAAGATGAACTCTCTTAACAGGAAATCATAAGGGGAAAATAACTGCATAAAAAGGTACTTCTCTCAGACATGCATATTATACTCATATTTCCCACATCGTTTTCAAACTTATGCTCTAAGCTTTACTCAAAATGAGGAGAAAAGTATCTATTCACTGTCCCTGTGACAGTACCGTGAATCTTTTACAAACACTGTTTCATGTGCCCACTATATTAGAAGATAACAAACTACTAATGTGAATATTTGTAGTACAAAACCTGTGTAGAACAGGTTAAAAAAACCACAGGTTTTGTGTAAAAAAACCTATATTCTATATAAAATGTTAAAGTATCTCTTCTTTTTCAGAAATTTTGATTAAAAAATGAATTTGGCTCAACATATGAGTAAGATGCTACCTTTACAGAGCAATTTTCTTTATTTTTCGATTTTTTAGTAGCTTTCTGAATTCCAAGGAAATAATTTTCTTAGGCTTAAGAAAAAATAAACATAACCTAAAAAACTGATGAACTGAGAATGATGGCTTCTAGCTTCATCCATGCCCTTGCAAAGGACATGAACTCATTCTTTTTTGTGGCTGCATAGTATTCCATGGTGTGTATGTGCCACATTTTCTTTATCCAGTCTATCATTGATGGGCATTTGGATTGGTTCCAAGTCTTGGCTATTGTATATAGTGCTGCAAACAGAAAACCAAACACCATTTGTTCTCACTCATAAGTGGGAGTTAAACAGTGAGAACACATGGACACAGGGAGAGGAACAACACACTCCAGGGCCTGTCAGGGGGTCAGGGGCAAGGGGAGGGAGATAATTAGGACAAATACCTAATGCATGCAGGGCTTAAAACCTAGATGACAGGTTGATAGGTACAGCAAACCACCATGGCACATGTATACCTATGTAACAAACCTGCACGTTCTGCACATGTATCCCAGAACTTAAAGTAAATTTTTAAAAAAAAATTATGAACTGTGAACATTTTGTGTGTGTGTGTGTGTGTGTGTGTGTTTGACAATTTTTGCATTTTTACAATTCCCCAATTATAAGAGAACCATCTGTAGTAGGGTGAATACTGGCCACCCAAAGACATTACATCCTAACCCCTGGAACCTATAAATGCTACCTTACAAAGAAAAAGGCTTTTTGTAGATTTGATAAAATGAAGGATCCTAGATAGATAGATTACTGGATTATCCAACGGGCACTAAGTCCAATCACAAGTGTCCTTATAAGAAAGGAAAGCAGAGGGAGGTTTGATAGAGACAGAAGAGAAGGCAATGTGACCACCATGCAGAGATTGCAGTGATGTACCCACAAGCCAAGGAATGCCTGCAGCCTACTAAAATGCAGGGGGCAAAGAATGGATTGTCCCCCTAGAGCCTCCGGGAGCATGACCCTGCTGACACCTGGATTTCTGTCCCATGATGCTCATTGTGGACTCCAGCCTCTAGCTCTATGAGAGAGTAAATTTCTGTTGTTTTAAGCCACTAATTTTGCCAGGAAGGAGCCTTCAGCAAACCAGTATGTCATTCTTTCAAATGTGTTTGAGTAGGTTTACAATTACTATGCTGAGCACATGAGGCAAGTCTGACACCAGACAAATCACAAGTTAAATGGAAAAACGTCACTTTCCCTGAAATTTATGAAATTCTGTTTGGGCACAGAGAAGAAATAAATGTCTAAGTTACCGACTTGCAGCTTTTTACAAAATGTTCCATTTAGAATGGAGTTTCCTATAAATTTTCCAGACAAACTTTTAACATCCAAATAAATTTTTTCTTTAATTATTACTTTTTAAAACTAATTTAAAAAGTATTACTCATTCAGCATTAAAAATTTAGATAATGCAAATAAGCAAAAAAGTAGGAAAATCAAAAGTGTATCCCTAGTTTTATTATCCAGGGATCACTTCTATTCATATTTTAGTATATCTGTCCAGCGTTCTATTACAAATATCTACATATAATTATTTTATTTTACATTATTTTATAAAAATGGATACTAATAACATGTTATAATCAACTTTTTTATATACTTAATACATTATAAATATTTTCCATATCAATATAATTTCTACAACAAAATTTTTGATGACTGCATATTTTCCATAGTATTGCTGAATAAAAATTGTATATTATCTTTTTCATACATTTAAACGCTTAGTAGGTTTTCCCATTTTTTCACTAATGAATCTTTGCTGATCCCCCAGGAGTTTTTAAAATCAAGAAGTAGACTAATTTTGTCAGTAAGAAAATTATAATATTTGTCATTTGCCCAAAAGTTGGGCTTTAATGTCAAATCTGATTCTCTATAGTAAAAGGACCACGATTTACAGCTATAGCCCTCACAGTGTATGGGGCACATGGAAATAAGTAGTTGGAAGCTTTCAGGGATCTCCAGAGAGTCCCTCCATGGGACAACAGCTCTACTGCACCCACCAATCATAAGAGTGACCCCATAAACAAGTCTGTCATCCAACTCAACAGCATTAAGCAAGGGCCAATTCTATGTGGCAAACCAGATAAATCAGGCAAAGTTATAATCTTCACTTGAAACACCTGTATCAGCTGGGAAGTTTTAATTCCTAGTATGAAAAGATTTTAGTCAATAAATAACAAAAGTGAGGTCACAAAGGATAAAGAGCTTTGCCAAAGCCACCACGGCTGTTGGTGGAAAGACCACAGTATAGAATTCGAAGTTGTAAGTTTGGACCTGCGGTGAAGAAGTTTACATTAAAACCACATGTATAATATCCTTCCGCGCTAGGTACACTAGCAGTAGCATAAGGAGTGTGTATTTGAACATATATTTAAAGATCAACACTAAAACAATAGATGGAGGCTTCAGCTACCCCTGGAGCCATATCCACTTTCTCTCCTGACTCCACTGGAACAAGGAGGTTAGGAGAATGAGCACTGGACAGGGTGAAGAGGGAGGAGCAAGGCTGAGCGTGGCTTAAGTTCCTGCTGGGGACGAGGAGATTCCTCCGGTTTTCAAAATATTCCTTTTCCATTGATTCTGCTAGGTCCTTGGTCCTTAAATATCAGAGGCAGGTAGATGTTTATATGTAAGTGTACAATCCTGACAGTGTGCAATAAATTCTTGTGGATGTAGAATGAAAGAAAAGTAGAAAAGAAGGAGGAAGAGAGAAAGCGAAGGAGGAAAAAAGGGGAGAAAGGAAAAAAGGAAGGAAAGGAGGGAGGGAAAGAGGGAGAGAGGGAAGGAGGGAGGGAAGAAGGAAGGGAGAGAGAGAGGAAAAATATTTACAAGTCTACAAAGAGTAAAAATTGCAGAAAAATAAAAGCTTGTCTCTGAAACAACAAAGGTTAGCTCATATAAACTTTTAGCTTCCTGCATTTGAGGAGACAAGCAGAAGTGAATGTTTTGATTTGTTTACAGGAAAGTGTAAGAAAGAATAAAGAGAAAATAAATATCAATGACTCTGAATTTAGATGAAAATATCAATGGAAACCACAGGCTTGAATCTAATATATATATATATATATTATATTAGATTCTATGTAAATTTTATAGAATATTATTTGTATTCTGTCTTGGTATTAAAGTCAGAAACTTACTTTGCAAAAGAAAGTCTGTATAATTGGCATAGGATTCAAGAAATGCCCCAAATGGCCAACACCAAGAAAGAGCTGTAGAGATGCATGTGATGAGGGTGGTCACATAATAAAACTAATATTTTCATTTGTGTTAAGAAGTAAAAAATGGCCCTTTGTCTAAAATGAGAAAACATGACTGTATTTCAAGTTAAATACATAATTGATCAACGGAACCCAAAGATTTAGGTGTAGAAATCAGATACATGTGATGCTAATTTCAAATACACTTACATTCAAATCAAGAGTCCTTATCATGAGATAAGCTGGATGACTGGAATTCATTTCTAAGACTGGCTGTTTTATACAAGCACCCCCTGATAGTATTTAAGGGTTACCTGCAAAGTCTTCAGCTCAGAAACATCTCCCCTCCCTTCTATGAAACTGTAATCAATCTCTTCCTTCCTGAGAGCTAAGGGACTACTACTGTTATACCTGAAGGCAAGGAATCTCAAAAAAGGCAATATAAAAATTGTTATGGTTTACAGATCATTAACTCCTTCTTGGAAACTGGTTTGTTTGACAGTTACCCTCATAAATGGGAAGATGACCGTAGCGGCTTTAGACTGGGCTTCACATCAAGCCAGGCCAAGTGCCTCACTCAAGAGGAGACAAGATTTGGGTACATGGGGCCAAGCACATGGTGAGCACAGGCCTAGGTGAGGGGCTGGTGGGACTCTCGGCAAAGGACAAAGGAACAAGCGCTGCCGGATAGGCTGCAGAATCAAGACATGGACACCTTCAATCTAGGCTGGGAGGGAACAGAAAGGAAGGGGAGCACAAAGAAATATCTCATTCTGGCTGGGTGGTGGCTCAGGTCTATAATCTCAGCACTTTGGGAGGCCGAGGCGGGTGGATCACTTGAGGTCAGGAGTGCGAGACCAGCCTGGCCAACAAGGTGAAAACTCCTACTAAAATTATAAAAATTAGGCGGGCCTGGTGGCGGATGCCTGCAATTTAAGCTACTCAGGAGGCTGAAGCAGGAGAATCGCTTGAACCTGGGAGGTGGAAAGGTTGCAGTGAGCTGACATCACACCACTGCACTCCAGCCTGGGAAACAGAGTGAGACTCAAAAAAAAAAAAAAAGGAGAGAGAGAGAGAAAGAAAGAAGTAAAGAAAAGAAAAGACAAGAGGTCATGCTAAATTAGCCCTGTTCACCTCGGACATCCAAGGTTGCCTCAGGGGCCAGGAGAAGCAACCCCCTGAAGCCAACCCTCAGGGCTGACCTCAGACGCTGACCCCACCAGCCATACGAAAAGGATGTTGTGGAAAGACAGCGATGTACTCTCCCAATCAAGGCAGACAGATTCAGTCCCAAACAGGAGACCCATGTCAACAACTGCTAATGATCCTGCTTTTCCTGTTCCTATACACACACCTCCCCTTGGTATTTCTCTTCTGGGTTACTTCCCTTTTGTAACTCAGAGAAATCCTCATGCTCAGAAATTAGCACCAATTACAAACTTTATAAAACATTTTAAATAAAAGACATATGTTATGTGCTAAATCCCCAGTTATGTGTCAGTTTGTTTGTTACAATATTGCTGCTATTTTGCTTTAACAGTATAAGCACTGTGGAACGGGTATTGTACAGCATCCACACGGCCATATAGGAACTCGGTGGGCATTTTGTGTTGGTTATATATCTACACATATAATGTTTATAAGGCATATGATTTTTCATTGTAGAGTGCCTTTTTTTTTTTTTTAAGAAAACCAAATTTGAGAATCTGCGTGGTATATCTGGGGTAAAATCATATGATATTTTTAGTACTTTCCTTATGCTTTCTGGTTTCTGTAAGAAAAGATAACATCCCAATCCAATTAAACAAGGTAAATCCTCCAGCCTTGGATGTCTGGATGAAAGAGAGCAGGATGGGATGGTAGGCACGGAACTCAGAATCCACTAAGGAGTGTGTAACAACTCACCTGCCAAATCAACTAGCCCTTACATTTTTTTTTTAATTTTGTATAGTCCATGAGATCCTGATACTGACCTATGAAAGGTGCAGAAGCCTGAAGAAAAGAAACAACTTGCTCAAAATCACATGACACAACTGCCCCACCTGTTTCAAGAGGCACCTGTGGATAGACACAAAACCCACCCAATGGCAGTGGAATCCGGTGGGGGGGAGCACAGGCTGTGGAGTCAGAATGCTGCAGTTCAAATCCAGGCTCTGCTAGTTACTAACGAGGGACCCTGGGACAGTCAGATGAACTTCTCTATGCCTCAACTAGTTCATCTGTGAAATGGGGCTACACCTGGCACTTAAACCGTTGAGTTGCCATGAGGATGAAATGGCTCTATGCCATGAAAAGTGCATAGATGAGTGCTTAATGCATTAATTAACACCTGTTCTTTAATGTCAGTTCTGTGTTATTGTCAGTTCTGTGTTATTAAGACTTCTATTTCTTTTTTTTTTTTTTTCTGAGACGGAGTCTCGCTCTGTCACCCAGGCTGGAGTGCAGTGGCACGATCTCGGCTCACTGCAAGCTCCACCTCCCGGGTTCATGCCATTCTCCTGCCTCAACCTCCCGAGTAGCTGCGACGACAGGTGCCCACCACCACGCCCGGCTAATTTTTTGTATTTTTAGTAGAGATGGGTTTTCAACGTGTTAGCCAGGATGGTCTAGATCTCCTGACCTCGTGATCCGCCCGCCTCGGCCTCCCAAAGTGCTGGGATTACAGGCGTGAGCCACCGCGCCCAGCTATTTTTTTTTATTACTATGGTCATCATTATTATCACTATTTTGTGAAGGCTTTGAGGACATCAGTGAATGGCCCTGCAAGTCTCAATGAAAGGAGGGCAGCTCCTGCTGGAGGATAAGGTGGCACACACAGTGCTCACATCTGATCCAGTAATTCCAGAGCCCAGTTCTTCCTTAGAAGTCAGCTTTCTGGACTGCCATAGCAAATCCACCAAATCCCATTTTCCATCCCACTCCCCACCTCCCAGGGTACGGGTCTGTTCATGTCACTCAGGTTGCTCTTGTCACATTACTCTGCAGCTCAGAACTTCAACCTCCAAACACGGTTTGCCTTCATGTCAATTACATGGTACAATTTAAAGTGCAGGCTCCTGTTCCCCACCACTAAGCTGAGTGCCTGAGTCAAAATTTCTGGGAAGAAGGTCCAGGAGTCTGCTTGCCAGGGGATTCTGATACTCACACAAGTTTCAGAAGTACTTGTGATTTATTTATTTGGGCACTTGTCTTATTCCTTCTACTTGGCTATAGGTTGCATCCCCCACAATACCTATTTTTATTCCTTTTTCCACAATACCATGTACACAGTAGGTTTTCAATGACTACTAATTCAATAAATGTTTGCTAACAAGCTGAAGCCACCTAGGATTCCATCTTGCTAGATAGGAGGAGAAAGGTGTGACAAGCCATCATTGCTGCAGCAAAATCACACACAGCGTCTGATACTCCAAACAGCTCCAACAAGAGTCCTAATGCACTGCAGTGGGTTGTACAGTTAAATAACTCTACTCCAGAAAAAAAAAAAAAAGTGGCAGCAATAGAGGAGAACACACAAAGACCCAGCTGCCCGAAACATGAATAGCCTAGCAAGGCAATCCCGTCAGGACCCACGGAGAATACAGATCAGCAGAAAATGGGAAATCTGAGATGAGCTAGGGTCTCAGTGGTGCTCGCCATAACCCATTTTCAACTCCCCCTTTCCTTTGCTTCCTCCTGCCTCTTTCCCTCCCCAAACCCAAAGTTATAAGAGCTATTAGGAAAAAAGAGTGACTACTGTGTGAAGGCGGAGGGTCCCGTGAGCTGGCCCTGCAGCTGGGCCCGGGCTACATTGTGTTCATTATTCCTGGGAGGCGTGAGCCCGAGAGAGCGTTCCTTCTGCAGCTGGCATCTTGTGAGCTAAGTTACTAGCAAGAATCAGAGAGGAAACACTGGACTTTGTTCTTGAAGATGATCAGAAAAAATTGGGGAAGATCTAAAAGGATTTTAAACCAACATTTCAAGGTTCAAATAGATTTTTTTAACAAAACTCAGAACACAAAAGTGACACTGTCTTTGAGAATTAAAGAATAAAACACCAGTACGTTTCCAGTCAAAACTTAAGTGTATTCTGTCAATAGTATACAATTTGGAGAATTACACGTTGCAGGTTTTCTTCCTTCAGATAGAATAATAACGCTGGAAAAGCCCTCAAGAGGTGTTGGCCCAGATTCCTGACTCCAGGGTCATGATTATCTATGCCTGGAATCGCCTCTTCAAGGTTTCTAGGGATGGAGAGTCCATAAACTTTATATAGCCCGGTGGAATGTGTTTTTCTCCTTGAATGCAGAAGTTCTTCCTGGTGTCCAAATGAAATCATTGTCGATTTCCTTTGTCTAGCTAGCCACACATACCGAGGCCAGCGGAACCCTTGCCCTCTTTGGCACACTCTTCTGATTTCCTACTATTTTTTTTTCAACGTCCTTTTAAAAGTAAAATAAATGAGTACAACCTAAGGCAGCACACAGAAAAAATTAGTCCATGAGACATGAACCCTATAATCCTTTTCAGAAAAATGATGGTTTTTATTCTAGCAAATATTTTTCTCTCTCTTACAAACACACACACATTTATTTAATATCTACATTAGATTGTTAGATTGCTAGGTATTTTTATTTTAAAACTGTGTAGTTTTTGCCCTTCCCGTTTTAAACATACTTTATAGGCTTTATCACACTTAATTCTCCTCCATATACTTGTCCCTACTGATTTCATCTTGCTTTGAGGCACCATCTTTCCTCATAGGAACAGAAATCAAAATAGCATTAATAAATCTCCTGAAGAATGTATAACGAATTTGATCTCATATCACTTTCAAATTTATAATTCCCTTGTATCATCAATTCACCAAAAGCATTAAATGTAATGTACCTAACGCCAGTTCTGTTGATTCACTCTCTCCTGTTAAGGCAGAGCCACTGACAATAGCTCTTGGGAAGTTGGAAGTTCTCCTTATCAGAATTACCATTTAAAATCACTTTAAAATGAGTCACATAGCTCACTTGCCTTATTCCACTGATGATTCCCCCATCATAATTAGAATGAAACCTAAACTTCTCGCCATGACCACAAGACTCTTTTCCCCCCACCCCCAGCGCCACCACTCATCACAACTTTCTCAAGTTCTCAGGTACACTGGCCCATTCCCTGTTGTTCCCAAACACACCAAGACCACCCACCTCATAGAATTAGTACGCCCTATTCTTTCGCCTGAAAGATTCTCCTGCAGGTTCTTCACAAATTGGATTTCTCACTAACCATGCTTGTTTACCTAGATTTTCTCCTCCCATGCCCCTCAGTGAGCAGTTAAATCCCACAAAGATGCTGGTGGGTTTTGCCCACACTGTGACACTATGCCGGTCAGACAGTGAGCACCCAATGAGTATGTGTGGAATGAATGAATGTGGATGAGGTTTTGTGCATACCACCATCACCCAAGATCGCTGTAGACGCCAACCTGACCACAGCTATGCGAGAACTGATTCCTTCACACTAAGCAATAAGGAAAAGGAGTATATCTCGAAAGCAATAAGGAAAGCATCAAGGAAAGGAGTATATCTACAAAGCTATGAAAGAAATCCATATACAAAAGCACTTTCCTTGTCTCTGATTTTATTTCCACTACTCAAAACAAATTTCTGATGATAAAACATCCATAAAACATATTTTCTTTGTGATCTCTAAATTGATTACTATATTCATCAACTCAAGCAAAAGAGAGTATCGTGTGAGAAAAAATCCAAAGCTTACCAAAATTATACATTTCATTTCTAGTTTTGTTTCCACGTTGGCATTAAAGTTTGCATAAATGAAAATGCTTTTTCTGGATTCTGAGGCATGAATATTAGTATAAATTTTGAGAGCTGAAGCAAAGCAAAAACTGCAAAATTATCCCTAAAGGATTTGGAGAGTATAACTGTTAGAAAACTTGATTTTTTATGTTTTTTTCATTCTTCAAGATATGTTTTATTCAGATTGAAAGAACAAAGGGAAGAATTATCATTAAGAACAAAACTTTTCTTGTGAACTCCAAAGTTCCACAGAGCTACAGAAATCACAGAGAGAATACAATTTTATTCATATATACTAAAACCTAGGTCTTTAGGCCGGGCTTGGTGGCTCACATCTGTAATCCCAGCACTTTGGGAGGCTGAGGTGGGCAGATCATGAGGTCAGGAGATCGAGACCATCCTAGCTAACATGGTGAAACCCCGTCTCTCCTAAAAAGACAAAAAATTAGCCGGGCATGGTGGCGGGTGCCTGTAGCCTGTAGTCCCAGCTACTCAGGAGGCTGAGGCAGGAGAATGATGTGAACCCAGGAGGCGGAGCTTGCAGTGAGCCGAGATCACACCACTGCACTCCAGCCTGGGCGACAGAGCGAGACTCCGTCTCAAAAAAAAACAAAAACAAAAAAACCCTAGGTCTTTAATGCGTGTCCAAAAGTGATAGTGTTAGGTCATTTAGAAAAATAAAACAGGATATGAATTCAGTCTACCATCACTCTGTGAATTTATTTTGTTGGTCATTTTATATTTTCATTCTTAAAAATGATTACCATTGTGAAACATAGGTCTCAAGCCCACACATCTTTGAGGCTATCTCACCAAGAGAACCCCTGCTGGCCACGTGCCCCATACCTTGCAGCCACTGTGAGTCCTTGTCTTCATCAGCGGTGTGGTCGTGCACAGCTCAATGGCCTCCGGCTCATGGAAGATGACCGCTGGGAGAGGTTCCTTTTTCAGTGTTAAGACATTCAATTTAGACTTCAGCATGGTCTGAAAGTGCTGAAAAGCAGAAAAATAAGCCACATGTAGTTTAATCACTTGGACTTTTATGTCCTGCAATTGTACATTAAACCCAGTAGCAACTTGTTTTATTGACTCTGTTCTATTAGGGGAGGCCAAGAGATATTTAGTAAAACAGAGGAGGGGGAACTGTGTCCTGTCAGGACGTCACTCAGATGAAACTGTGGAGACAGTCAATTCCTAAGCAGAGTCCACAGAAACATGACTTAGTGGTAAAGTCACCTCACCCAGGACATTATGTTCTGAGAAGCTCTTCCAACGTACTGTATACAGATGAAATTGTGGCAATGGAATCCATGCAGATTCAGCTACATAAGATGTTTGGAAGAGGATGTTATAGGGGTTATTTTGGGAAAAGTCTAGACACTGTAGAAGGAGAACAGATGAAAAAGTACACAAGACTTCTGTTCTCTGCCTTCCTGAGCTCTTTCATGCACTGGCTGTGGAACCTTAGGAAATTCACTACTTTAGGACAGACCATTTTTATCTGCTGTCTTAGGCCAGGATCCCAGGTAAATATCCATTTCATATGCAACATCCATTGGCTCTTGTTGTGAAAGATGCTCAGAATCCAACCACATTCAATTACTGCTATCCATACCACCCAGTCTAAGACCCCTCTTTCCTTGGTCTATGATAATGACATCCAACCTGGTCCCATCACTTCCAACTTTGTCCCTATACAGAGAATTGCCCCACCGTCACCAGAGAGATCCTTCTAAAATCTAATTGTGCCATGCCACCTCTGCTCAAACCCTCCCATGTCTTCCCATCTCCTCATGGAAAAATTCCAAGTTCTTACCTTGGCCTTTGAGACCACACATGATTCAAGGACCTACTACCTCTCTGATTTCATCCTCCATCCCCATCCTCTCATGTAGGGGTCCAGGCACAGTGTCCTCCTTACTATTCTGAGAATAAACCAAAGACACTTGTGCCTTAGGACCCCTGATCACGCTGCTCCTGTCGTAGGTATTTGCAAGTCTTGCTTCCTCGCCTCCTTGAGGTCCCTGATCAAATGTCACCTCATGAGACAGCCCTTCCTCATCAAAATATAAAGCAGCCGGCATACATATACACACACAAACACAGACTCATGCCTCGCTTCATGTGCCTACAGCCTGTGCTTAGGAGGGCCTCACACTCAGAAGGACTCCATACTTGGTTCAATGCCTTTGGTTTAATGTCCCCATCTTGAAAGTGGGAGGCCAAGGAAAGGGGATCACGTGAGGTCACAAGTTCGAGACCAGCCTGGCCAACATGGTGAAACCCTGTCTCTACTAAAAATACAAAAATTAGCCGGGCGTGATGTCAGGCACCTGTAATCCTAGCTACTTGGGAAGCTGAGGCAGGAGAATCGCTTGAACCTGGGAGGCGGAGGTTGCAGTGAGCCGAGACCACACCACTGTACTCCAGCCTGGGCGATAAGAGCAAGATTCCATCTCAAAAAAAAAAAAAAAGTCTTAATAATGTTATTTTGAACTTGTATTCTGTAAGGAAAGTCTGATGGGACAGTGGAGCACAGATGTGAGTGGATAAGAAACATACAGTGTGTGCATCCCCCATCCTTACCACCCACCTTCACAGAGCATTAGTGATGCCCCATAAAGACAGAATTCTGTTCAACTCTTAACATGTAGGAATTTAGCAAGAGTCAAAGTGAGTACAAGGTAAGTATTTAAGACTTGAATAAGCAGGGGCACGCACAGCCCCAAGAGGCTATGCATTGGAACCAGAACTTGCTTCAAGTTCAGAAAGAAATTAGCCTTGTTCTAAGAAACAGGAATGATCATGGAATCCTATCACATCCTTTCCCGCTTGTATTACTTCCCTGTACAAGGCAACCACCTACGTACTGAAATGATAACACAGAAGGAAAGGGAAAGGTGAGGCAGACACAGTTCCTTCTCCTTTCAGTCCTTCCTTACTCATCAGTAAGATGAAGGCAAAGTGGTGAGAGAAAGTGCACGTATCAAGAAGTGAGATAAAAACAGGTAAGTTAGTTTTGTGCAGCGTTTTCACTGTTCCGACAAAAACAAAATACAGCATGAACTAGAAAATGCAAATTGGATAATTTCTATGATCCCACCCTTACATTTGCATTTAAAGTAGGCACTGCACAATGTAAATTCATGCTCAGAATCTAAATGTTTAATTTTTCTTTACTTAGAACAGCATTAAATGGCAAATAATAATTTTAAAAACACCAGGACTATTCCAGACAAAGATTTATTTTAAAACAGCTTTATGTTTTGGTACCTTCAATGGTACGTTTCTTCTGCTTTTTGAATAAGAAACACTGAATTTTCATTTTACACTGGGCCCTATGAGTTGTGTAGCCAGTTTGCACACATAATATACTCATCTCTGCCTACTCCTTGTCCCTGCTTTATTGTTCCTATAATTTATCCCTACTTATCGCCACTATAAGATTATATACTTGCTTTGTTTACTTTATTGTCTTCCAGTAGAATATAAAAGCACCATAGGAGCAGAAACTATTTTATTCAAGGACATATCACAAGGGCCTAAAACAGTTCCTAGCACATTTCAGAAGTCCAATGAATATTTGTGGAAGGTAATGAAGGTAACATCATTTTAAAAAACAAACCACAAATATTAAAAAAAAAAAGAAAACTAAATCAGGATTCATAGACTAGATCAGCTCACTGCTTCGTCCAAGTTGACCTTAAGGACCTGGTATGGTTTATGAAACAAACACAAGACTGAAAGAAGTGGATAATGATACACACACACAAGTACCTTCGCCTCAGTAAAAACTGCCAAAAACAGTTCTTTAAAAAGTAGAGATCATTATGTTACATGAAATAAGCCAAGCACAGAAAGACAAACATTGCATGTTCTCATTTATTTGTGGGATCTAAAAATAAAAACAATTGAACTCATGAGCATAGAGAGTAGAAAGATGGTTACCAGAGGCTGTGAAGGGTAGGGGGGAGCTGTGGGGGAAGGCAGGGATGGTTAATGGGTACAAAAAAACATAGTTAGAAAGGATGAATAAGACCTACTATTTGACAGCACAGCAGGGTGATTGTAGGCAATAATAACTTAATTGTACATTTTAAAATTAATTAAAAGAGTGTAATTGGATGGTCTGTAACAAAGGATAAATGCTTGAAGGGATGGATACCCCATTCTCCATGATGTTATTATTGTGCGTTGCATGCCTGAATCAAAACAGCTCATCTCATATAAGGGCAGTAGAAGTTTTGGAATTTGTGGCAAGACAAAGTGTCTTTTCCACAAGTCCACTAGGACTCCATCTGGCCTCTCTGGTGGTCCATTTAAAGCATTGACTTGGCTAGGCTACCATGCCCAGTTATTCAAACACCAATCTATGTGTTGTTGTAAAGGTATTTTGTAGATGTGATTAAAGTCCATAATCAGTTGATTTGAAGTAAGGGAGAGTAAGCTAGATAATTAGGGCAAATTTGATTCAGTCGGTTCAAAGACCTTAAGAGGCAGCCCAGACTTCCCTGAAGAAGAAAATATTCCTCCTATGGATGCCAGCTTCAGCCCACGGTTCCAGCCCACCCTTTCTGACAGTCTCCTTTGCAGTTTTGGACTTTTCTTGCCAACCCCCACAAGTGCATATGCCAATTCCTTGAATAAACCTCTAAATATAGATGTCCTACTAGTTCTGTCTCTCTGGCTGAACCCCAATTGTTACAGCCACCTTGTAGAATAAAAAGTTGCCAGCTCTGAGGGCAACTTCTTTTTAATGGAAAAGAGACTTGCCCTTAAGTTTTCCAGAGTGTTTGACTTGAATTTAAAAAAGAAAAGTAAGAGCAAGTCTTCGTATTTCTTCCAGAAACTTCGTAATCTGGAAGTTTCTGTCCTTGCTCCTAATAGATTCCAGCCCAATGCAGAGTGTAGGGTTTGGAGTTGCCAACAGGGGACAGTGGTCTGGAAGGAGCCACATAGGTCACTGAGAGTGAGATCTGAAGGTGGTTTGCCAAGTTGGTTGGGAAAGAAATTGGGGCCAACAGAGGAACAGGATGAAGGAAGAGGGAAGCTCCAAATGTGAGGTTTGAGTAAGTGGGGGTATCTCCCCTGTCTGCCATTTTCCTCAGGCTCTACAAGACATTCATAAAAGCACAGAGCATCAATCCAACTTCTGCCACACAGCAATTTTCTGAAGAGGGCACGAGAAGTGGCCCTGCTTTCAGGAGGTTGAGACAACCACACTGCCTGGAAGTTCCGAGATGGTCTTCCCATCCGTGTTGTAAACCAAATGCCGCAACCATTGATTCAGTCACTAAGCAAACAGAGACTGAAAGGTGTGGACCAGCACACCTGCCCCTTTGATTGCTTGGCTGGGGAGCCAAGTGAAATAAATACACAGATAAACAGAAAAAGAAAAAAGAAAAGCTAAATTGGAGACAGGAAGATAACAGAGTTCAAATTCCAACTTCAACACAATATATTGTGCAACCTCAGCTACCTAACTCTTCTGAGCTTGTCTTCTCCAGCCAGGCAGGCATGTGCCACACATTTGCCTGCTGATTCATTCCACCTTCCCTGAACACCTATATGCAGCCAAATACTGTGATAGGCACAGCTGGAACAGAAATAAAACATTAGTCTCTGCTTGAAAGGGTTTCTCACAGTTGATGGAGACTGTTAAGTCCAATGACAACTGCAAATCTGTGTGAGAAGTTCTATAGCAAAGCTAGAGAGAGACTAAGAAAATATTTGAGGTGAAACAGAGAAAATGATTCCTTTAAAACGGGTACCTTCAATGGCTTTGTCCTCTTTGCCCACTGTCAAAAGATGATGGTTAAAGAGGGAAATAAAATGTGGATTGCTTGATGAATTATTTAATCTATAAGAATACATCTTCCTATGGCAAAATTAACATTTTATGTAACTCTGAGTGGCTCTGGTGCATTTTTGGTGGTTAAAAGCATGAGAGTTATACCTGCTTCTGCTTTGGAACACTCTTCTGTCCCCTTCCTTGGGGAAGCTTCTCCACTACTGCATGCTGCCTTGTTGAATGAGGCTGTCAGTCACAGTTCCTTGCCCCCAACACTGAATAATGTCATTGCCCCCTTTACACAAAGAATATGCAACATGACACAGGCTGACCATCTGAGTGTCTCATGTCCCTGCCCAAAAGCATTGGTTCAGAGGAAACTCAAGACTGGCTGAACAGAATGTCCTGGAGATGGGCATGCAGGGTTGTGGACTGGGGTGATGTGAGCCCAGAGCTGCTGCTGGCCTCCTTCCCAATCGAAGTCAGCCTGAGAGTGAGACCACACTGAGACAAGGAAAGACAGAGATAGACAGAGAAATTTCCTGAGAAATGGAAAGACAGCCTTCGCATCATTGAACTCCTGGATCCAGCTGTGTCTAACTCAGATCCATCCAGGGACCCACCTAGAATATGAACCAGTGGACTCAATTTTATGTTTAAACAAGCTTGAATTGGGTGTCTGATCCTTGCAACTAAGAGAATCTTGCAATACAAATATATGGTAATGAAAAATCACCTGTGAAAATAAAAAGAAGCCATTAACAAAAATTTTACAAAGACGTCATGAATTTTAAAACTGCAGAAATGCATGGTAACGTTATCTCTTTTTTAAAAAAGTGAATCTTGTACTTATTTGAATAGACTAAACCTTAATGATAAAGTACCAATAATCTGAAGTAGGTATTACGGTCCCCAGGTTATCCATATCTAAGACAAAGCCCTCCGAGGTACTGCCAAATGAAATGAATTCCACCTCTCAAGAAACAGCCAAAGAGTGTACCTGCAGTGGCATCCCACTTAGGTGGCACATGCTCTTACTGGATAACAGAGTCCTATATGCCATACCCAGTTCTGTGGCCTTGTACTTCCTGGTCCTGTTTTCTCATCTGTCAACTTTAAAATGTTATATTAGCCATGTCAAAAACAGTATCAGTTGTACTTTGCATGCACAGGCAAGTGCAACACAGACAATGCACCTTAAAATAGCAAAAAGAAATAGCATTATAAAAAGGCAACAAAAGAAGAATCTAATAGAGGAGCTTGGAAAAGCTACTGCTCGCAAACCAAAGGTGCACAGAGATCCATAAAGAAAATGTGTTATTCATTTTTAAAGAAGTGAATAGTGTTGTAGAAAACTAGGGCACTGCCCTGGACAAATTAAACAAAGGTTGGCTTTCTGCATTGGGTGTTTTATGTGTGATCCCAAAATAGAGCCTCTAAATCAAGCCCCATTATGCAGACGGGGTAATCGCCATGCCCTGTATAATTTTACAGTTGGCGCTGCTTCCTACCCCTATTCAGACATTAATCTCTGACAGTTTAGCAAGTGGCAATTTACATATTTTACCAATTCAAATTGGTTGTATCTCACCTTTGTATTGATTTTGTATCCAAAATATAAAACATCTTTGGAAGGCAAAGCCTGCTTAATGTTTTTATAAGATAACTGGAACACTACCCATATTTAGAGGGAAGGCATTAAGATTTTAATCTTCGGTTGATCCTTGCATGTTGAAGACAGACTATAATGGTCAGTTTTAACTTGCAAATTACTGACTTAGTAATGCCCTAATCGAGCTTCAAAAATATGGCAAATGTTCATCTTAAGAGAACCACAAGGAACAATTGGGTGAATCAGATTAATGGAAAACTTCAGTCCAAATAAATGTTAATTTGTACAAGTGCACAGAAAACACTAGGGCTTTGACATTCTATTTATAATCATGCTTCATTTTATTACTTTGGGGATTCGAAAGGATTAATGGAACTCACTTGTGGTTTTCTCACATTCTATACCACTTATTGTAAATAAGGTATATTCAGGCTCCAACTATGAGAAAAGAAACCATAGTGACACTTTTTTGTGACGTTTAATAAGATATCTTGCTTATTCTTTTTAATGAAAATTCTTAGATTTCTGCTTTTAAGCATTTATTCTAACATTTTTCACAGAAATAAATGACATAAAATCAAAATAAAATTCTGTTAAACAATTTGTATATTTAACAACTAATTTGTATATAATTAAAAGTAATGATATGAAAGAAGAAAACTTTTACTTAAAATGACCTTTTATTTAAACTTTTTTAAACTATTTTTCTCTTACATATTAGTTCAACTTATAACCTATAAACATTTTTCATGCTAAGAGTTTGTCTATTTTTTCCTTTGACCCTTTTTTAATGCAAAATAGGTCAAATAATCTCCAAAATCTAGCAGGCATATACAAAATTAAACCTTCTTCTTCAAGAATTAACCTTCTTATGAAGTTTATGTCAATCTGGCATTTCAAGAAAAGAAAAACCTACACCAATTTGGCATTTATCTTCTTGTTACAATTCATCCTAGTCACTGTCTTATTCAAAATAGTTTCAGTTTAATTTTAAAGGCCTACATCCAAATCCTTATAAATTTAAAAGGCGCTCTATATCTATTAAAGAAATGGCTATTATTAAGCTAACTGAAAATACTCATGTTCACACAGCCATATTTATTCATGCAGCTTTGATCATGGAAGCATTTTTTTTTTTACCTTCCCAGAGTCTCTCAAGTGATTATGTGGGAGAGGAACCAAAATAACTCCGTGCCCAAGGAGTATGCAAAAGCCCCCAAGGCTTGTGAAGGGCTCACTTACTCAGTGGGGAGAGAGACAGAGGGAGAGAGAGAGAGTGTGTGTGTGTGTGTGTGTGTGTGCGTGTGCGTGTGTGTGTGTGTATACTCACTAATTCATTGATTTTGTCACTGACTTGAAATACACACACACACGCACACACACAAATGTGTTATGTTCCTAGTTAAGTAGTTTCTGTCATCTTCTAAACCATTTTGCTATATGTAAACAGTTATTTTTCCATTTTTCTAACTGTGAACAGTTAAACAATTCATTGTTAAACATGGGTTACAAGCTGCCTCTAGGTAAGTTTTATTTAATTCACAGACTGCTTTGTTGTTAAAATTTGAAGTGGTTTTCAAAAATTGAGATACATACATAGCTGAAATCTATATTTCCATGTCTTTTGAAAAATCAGAAGTTCTGCAAAAGGAACATTCCCTCATGGTTAACAATTAGCTCCAGCTGACTGTTGCAACTGCCTTATTGACCTAGGGGCTTTCCTCTGCAACTGGCCATGGTCTCTGCCTGCCCTCCTGCCAACTTTCTCGTTTATACTAAACACCATTTGCTATTTTTATAGTCATTGTATGCCTTACCAAATTCACTCCCATACATTACTTGCTTGTCCCTTTTAGGCATTTGAATTTGCAACCCCTGATGTAAAACGCCAAATGCTAGGAGCACAGAACAAAAATTTCACCTACTCATGAAAAAAAAAAAATTCAAGTATAGCTGAATTGACTCCTACCTGTATTTAAATTATGAAAATTGAACTAAGAGGGTGTGAGTCAGTGAATGATAGAATAATAATATAACACAATATAAACAGGTCAACATGTCTGTCTGTCATTGCACTCAATGAGGATGGGACATGAACAAGTACTTAGAAATCTGCTCTTCTCTGAGTTATTCCCACATGCCCCTTGTGGTGTGAGTATCTTGTTGCACTGAATACAATTAAAATGCTAACAATCAATATTGTTTACTTCCACTTTTAATCAGGATGAATTAACATGAACAGGGATGACCCTCCTACTTAAAACAACCAGAAGTTAAGAAACAACAGTTTGTGACCCTGGGTATGAAGCAATGAAGGACAGTGGCCCCTGAGAGATGTGAAACAAATGAGGTAAGATGTACACCTGCCCAGCTTCCTGCCTTGAAACAGTTTGCAGGCTGCAGAGCAGGGAGGAGAAACACAAGCAGGGTGCAGCGGAATCCCTGAGCTAAGGAGACAGAGATGAAAGCCTGGGGGGACAAACAAGAGAAGAGAACTTCACAGAGAGAGAATTCTGTAAATTTTCAGAGGGTCTCCTTAAATATTCAGCTGACTACTGATCAGCATATGCATAAAAGGAAACTCAAGGCTGGACAACATCCACTGGAAAGAATAAGAGGTTAGAGTGCTGGTGCTCACACAGGGCCAGTTACATTGCCTGCTCGCATCAGCCAGACTGAAAAAACTCATGAGTCACAGAGCAATGAGTAGAGAAATAAAGAAGTTCTAGTGCCACTAGTGGGGAAATTAGCACTAGACTACATGTTGCTCTGGTCTCACCTACAAATCTTAAAAGGAAGATTCAAAGGATCAGATTGCTTCCAAGTAATTTAACAGAATCTAACAACAACAAAAAGTTGAAGAATATAGGAATACAAAAATATCCAGTATCCAATAAGGTAAAATTTAAATGACCTAACATCCAATCAAAAATCACCAGACAAGGCCGGGCATGGTGGCTCATGCCTGTAAACCCAGCACTTTGGAAGGCTGAGACAGGCAGACCGCTTAAGCTCAGGAGTTCAAGACCAGCCTGGGCAAGATGGTGAAACCCCATCTTTACTAAAATTACAAAAAATTAGCCATAGTTCCAGCTACTTGGGAGGCTGAGGTGGCAGGATCACTAAGCCCAGGAGTTCCAGGCTGCAGTGAGCTATGATCAAGCCACTGCACTCCAGCCTGGGTGACAGAGCGAGACCCAGTCTCAAAAATAAAAAAAAAAATTGTCAGACATGAGACATGCAAAAATGGAAGAAAATAAAATCCATGAGGGTTAATAAACCAGTTAATGAAAGCCTACCCAGAACTGACAACAATGTTATAATAAACAGGCAATGACCTTAAAACTATATTCAATGTTACACTGATGGTTTTAACCAGTGCAATAAGGCAATAAAAAGAAATAATAAGACTCCATATTGGAAAGGAAGAAGTAAAATTGTCTTTATTCATAGAAAATTTGATTATCTTTGTAGACAATCCAACAATTCTTTTAGATAACCTAAAAAAAAGCAAACTACTAGAATGGATGAGTTTAGCAAAGTTGAAGGACACAAAATCAATATACAAAATTCTATTGTTTTCTATTGTCTAGCAATGAAAAATTAGCAATGACAGCAGATGTCCTTATAAAAGACTTGTACACAAATGCTCACAGTAGCTATATTTTTAAGAGCAGAAAATTAGAAACAACCTAAATGTTTCTCATCAAGCGAATGGACAAACTGTGGTATATCCACACAATGGAATGCTCCTCAACAAAGTGAAAAGGAATAAACTACAGATGCACACTACAACATAAATTATAAAACAATTATCCTGAGAACACAAACAAAAAAAGAGAACATACTGTATGATTCCATTTATATAGCATTGTAGGAAATAGATCAATGGATAGTGACTGAGAGGAGATCAGTTGTTGCCTGGGGATAGTGAGGAACGAAGAGAGGAGAGTGAGGTACATGAAGAAAGCTTTGTGGCGATGGTCTCATGCAGGTTTACAAATATCCAAACCTACCAACTTGTGCACTTTACATATGCATGGTTTATTATATGTCGAGTATACCTCATTAAAATTATTTTTCAGAGAAAAAATAGTTTCAAGTAATATGGCCCTTTAATTCATTCAAATGGCTTCATCTGATTGCTCAATGCTAGAGGGAAAATTTGCTGAGTGGAACAGACTAAGAAATAAATTCTGACCTCTAACATGGTGCCTTCCTAAGAGATTCCCAAGTAAAATTTTGACTCTACATGATTTTAATCTCCATGCTGACTTTGAAACTGAACTGTTGCATTGATATTACTCCCTATGAAATTAATAGTCAATGTCCTTCTCCTTGGATAAATGGCTAATTCTAGGACTGGGGCAAGAAAAGCAAAAGATGATCCCAGGGCATCTTGTTGAGCTAGAAATGAAGATAGTGCTCATAAAATGATGAGGACTTGTCGGATGAACGCTGGGAATAACCTGAAATAGCTCTCAACTTGGCCAACATTAGACAATTTCAGTAACAATAAATAATGGTTGTAATGGATTATAACCCTAGACTAAAAAAAATATCAATGAACAGTACTGAAAAGAAAAGAAAGGAAGGGGAAGGGGAAGGGGAAGGGGAAGTGGAAGGGGAAGGAAAGGAAAGGAAAGGAAGGGAGAGAAAAGGAAGGAAGGAAAGAAAGGGAAAGAAGAAAAGAAGAAACGAAAGAAGGGAGGAAAGAAGAAACTCATCCTTACAGTAAAGTTATACTTTTATAAATATAGAAGAAATTATCAAAATCTAAAGTTACCATATTGCAAACACTATAGCAATGTTTCAGGCATGAATCATTGTTTAAGGCTAAAATTAGTGGGCTAAATATGATGAGAATGAAGATATTTATATTGTCTCAAAGAATCTTTCCAGAAGATAATTATTTTACAAAGAGAACTTTACTTTGGCAAAACCTGGCAGACATTACCTTGACTAAGTGACCAAAATAACCATCTCTAACAATGAGAAATATTGACATAACTTGTCTCTAAATATAATATACTGAGAAGGTTACAACGCCACTTCTGTAGTAGTCCTGCCAAAAAATGCATAACCTGAATGTGATCATTAGAAAATACAGACAAACCCAAACTGAGAGACACTGTCAAGAATAACAGGCCAGAACTCTTCAAAAACGTTACAGTTATAAAAGGCAGAGAATGGCAGTAGAACTGACCAGATTAAAGAATACTAAAGAGATATGACTACTAAATACAATATATGATCTTAAATTGACATATACCTCATAAAAAAGCATTGGTGGAACAACTGATAAAATATGAATCAGGTCCTAAAATTACAAAATAGTATTTTACCAATATTACTTTCCTGGTTTTTATTCTACTATGATTATACAAAATTTAATCATTTGGGGACGCTTGAAAATTATACTATTTTGTCACTATTGAAATCTAACATTATTTTAAAATGAAAAGTTTTAAAAATGGAAAGTAGTCTTTGAATTTTTGAATTTTTATTTTAATTGTTGTTAAACATCACTTGTACATTTTCAAATAATACTTTTTAGAACTAACTTTAGATTTAACTTGTGTTCATATTTTAGCATCATGCAGCTACTATTCCAGTGTAGACTAAGTTATATTCTAGTTTCCGACAAGAAGTCTGTTATAATTCTTAATTTTGTTCCTTGTAATATGTCTTTTGTTTGTGACTGCTTTTAAGATTTTCTATTTATTTTTAGTTTTCAACTGTTTGGATATAATGAAGCCAGTTATATAGCTTGTTTCAGTATTTGTCATGTTTAGTGTTATCTTGAATCCATAGATCTGTGGTTTGATATCTTCCATTATTTTTGGAAAATTTTCAGCCTTTATGTCTTCAATAGTTCTTCCATCCCATTCTCTCTTCTCCTTCTGGCTTTTCAATTACATATATTTTAGACCATTTTATAGTATCCCACAAATCTTGTATGGTCTGTTCTAACTTTATACACTCTTTTTTCTTTTTGGATTTCAGTTTGGGTAATTTCTCTTGACCTATATTCAAGTTTACTTATTTTTCCTCTGGCTGTGCTGAATCTACTAATAAGCTCATTAAAGGCCTTCTTCATCCCTTTTACTTTGTTGTCATTGTTTCTGCTATTGTTACTGTTTTCCCCAGCAGTTACATCTGACTGTTTCTTACATGGTTTTTATCTCTTTGCTGAAATTCCCTATATGTTCATGCATGCTTTCCACCTTTTCCAATAGTGTTTGATATATTAAATATTAATCATCATTATTTTAAATTCCATATCTGAGTCTACTCAGAGTCTGGTTCTATCAACAGCTTTTTCTCTTCACAATAATTTTTTTTCCTTGTTTCTGTGTGTGTGCGTCTCATATATTTTGGTTGAATGCCGAGCATCATGTCCAATATAGTCTAAGGTAAATAGCATTTTTACATTGCATTCTTCTGCCCAAGTTAATTATTGTGGGGTTTCAAGTCAATCTAGTCTAGAACTGGGTTGAGTTTGGGTTTTATTGCTCTACCACAGGCTTCCATTTCTCTAGCATTAGCTTGTCCTTAAGGTGGAGTCTGGTTTGCTTAAAAGTAATCATCCATTATTGCCTCAATATTCCTATGCTACTCTCAGCTTTCTTTGTACTCCTGAGGCTAGGAGAAGGTCCCTCTCCTCACTCTTGCCTTGTCTCCAAAGGCTGACTGCAATTGCTTGATACTAGCCTGTGAGTTAGTATAAACTCTCCTTGGGCATCCAGCTCCCAGTGGTTCTACACTCTCATGCTAGCCCACAATTGACTTTTAAAAATGTAATAATTTTAGCTGGATTTTTCTTACCCCTTTGTATTGCAGTCCATGGTCTTCCTGTGATTTGCCATGAGTGAGTCAGAATTCATTTGTAGCCTCTTTTGGGAGCCCCTGTTTTCTATATATCAGTCTAGTTGGATGTACTATATGATCCCAGATCATAGTACATGATTTGATGGGTTCAAGAGAAGTTATGATTGTATAAATTATCTACATTTTTCTTTTTTAAGTTTTTAAACAGGCTCAGAAGGTATGGATTTTTCTTATTGGTAAAATGAAAGCAATGCTTTCTCTAGCTTCCTACATCCTAGGCAGAAACTAGTAGTAAAATTCATATTTTTAATCAGTTAAAAATTAATACATTGAGGAATGCTATATGTTTGGCAGACACAAATAAAATGTTCTGAAATAGGCATTAGCATTACTTATCATTTCCAAAGGTCCTAAGGTCCTTTCTCTCAAATGCTGTCTCTTTCCAACTCAGATAATTACGTTTTCATGAATACTGACTATCTGGTTGTGGTCAGCTTCCTATCTGCCTTCTCAGACATCTCCTCTTACAGATATATTAACCCTATCCTCCCTGACAAATAAATGTGGAAACATGAACCCTGCAACTCTCTGTAGGAAAAACTACCCAGAATTGCAGAATATTCAGAATAGAAGCAATGTTCCAGATGACTTAGACAAACTCCCTTATTTCACAGATGAAGAAACTAAAGCCCAGAGAAGTGAAGCAACGAGTCCAAGGTCATCCAGAGCCACACGCTTCAAAGAAAACTAGACTCACAACCCCAGACATCTGGTGACTGGCTCAGTTCTGAAGACAGCATGCCATACCAGATCACTTCCGAACCCCTGTCAAGAGCTGACAAGGTAGCTGCTGCATCATCGCTTAGAACTATGAAACGGAAACCTTTATAATCAGAAAATCCAAACATTTGACTTTGGCCAAGTCGCATGTACTTCCTGAGCTTTGGTTGCCAATAATACAAGGCCAATAATACCTTTCATGAAAAATTAATATAAATATGTGTGTGTATGTGTGTGTGTTTGAGAGACAGAGAGAGACAACATGAGTGTGAAAGATATCTTTCTCATCAACTGTCTGGTACTTTACAAGGATGTTGTTATTTACCTTCCAATAATACTCTAAAAATAGCAGGGCAGATTCATTTTGAGGCATTTGAACGTCAGAGCCCAGATTCTCTAACATCTTGCAACATTTCCCCCCACAATGTACATTAAGTACATAGAAGAGTAACTGGCACATGCACGCATTTACAAAAATTTTTATTCTTTTCCCTCCTATTTTCTGCCATTTAAATATAGACAACCATTTAAAAATGTGTAAAAACATATATACAAAAGTGTTAACAGCAGCTATTATCAGGTTGTGGAATTGAATATAATTTTTTTCTCTTTTCTCTTTTGCTCTCTTCTTGATAATTTTTATTTTCTACCAATTTAAAAAAAATGTGTTTTCATTTTATGGAAAGTTTAATGTAAGTGATTTGTAATTAGATGGAAGATGAGGCACAGATCAAGTAGACGCCTCTTCATGACAGTCTTTGATGCACGCACGCATGGGAGTGCTGCAAGAAACACAAAGCAACCTCTGAAAACCTGCCCAAACCAAGTGCAGAGGGAGAAACAGCCCTGAGTGCTTATCTTCCTCCGAAGTAATAAATGAGGACACAGAGCAGAGAATAAAAACAAAACAGAGTAAACATACTTTCAAAAGAATGAAAGAAGTCAGACAAAACAATGTAAGATTTAGAAACCAGACCAAATGTTATGAATTTAAGAATCCAGGGACTGTTTCTCATTTTGTCCCAAGGGACTTCATTCAGTCCCCAAGTATAGCCCAAGGGCACCTTGATTTGCAATTGGAAGTGCTCAGCTTGACAGTATCAGAGTGAATACCCCGCTCATCGGAACATAGCACGTACATGTTATAAACACACACATATTTATGTCCATGCACATTTGGTTTTGCTTTCATTTCACTTTTGCTAGACATAATTCCTTACAGGAATATGTTTTGGTTGATGCAGGATTGAACATCATCTTGGCAGTTTGGGAAGAAAGTAAAAATAATTTTATTCCAGGGCTTCAAGTGGTCAGGAAGGTGACATGCCAGAGCTTTGGCAAGCCAGAGTTCACTTCAATAAAAGCTCAGTGGACAGCATTATGTCGCAAAGCCATCTATGGAGGACAGAATTTATCTGTTCTACACGTTATCTTTAGGAAGGTTAAACAAAAAGAGTAAAATTAATCTCCAACATCTAGGGAGACAGCAATTCTAATATTCTGTGGGCATTATCATCATATCTAGAAAGGCTTTTCTGAAACTCCCAACCTAGAACTAACCCCTCTCTCTGTTTATGCCTGAACTGTACCTTGTGCAATAATTCATACTTTCATAGCATTTGTAACACCTGAATACATTGTTTAGATGATGTTTCTTCTTTGTATCCTCACTACCTACGAAATGTCTGGCACATAGTAGCTCCTAAATGTATATTTGATTAATAAATTAATGAATAGGTGAGTGACAAAAATATCATTGGAATTTAAAAACAATGTCTTCAAACTAAACACATGCCTAAGCCATACTGTTCACATCTTGCCTCACTCCCTTCTGTTGCTTGACTATATACCACTACTGGTTACCATCAACTCCATAGCTTCAACCTGGACACCATCTTGCAATGAGCTCTGGTCTAAATCCAGAGTCAAATATCCATGCTCTTTTGCAGGATGTTGACAATCTTCAGCCATGAAGATTAACAGTGGCCACACTGGTTCCACTGAAATCATACAACTTTCCTTGGACAGAAAGGGCTCTGTGCCTGCAGTATCATAGGGAGCTGTGCACAGGAGTTATGGCCTAGGCTCGTCTCAGCAAATTACAACAGCAGAAAGGGCTCCTTCCCGCCAGATCCTAGCAAAGAAGTCAAAGCATTCCAATGAGGAAAGTGACTTTCTTTGAGTAACAGCTAAAAGGTCCAAACATCTGAAGAAGGACCTCTCTACCCTCCTCCAAATAGTTTCAGGGTGGAATGTCATTCCTGACCGGAGGGAATGCACAGGCAAGTTTGAAATATTGATCAATGAAGCATATATAAGAAAGTACCAAAAACCAGGTGGTTTAAAACAACAGAGTTATTGTCTAACAGTTCTAGAGGCTAGAAGTCTGAAATCAAGGTTCCAACAGTGCCATGCTCTTTTTGACGGCTCCAGGAGAGGCTGCTTCTTTGTCTCTTCTGGCTTCTGGTGCTGCTGGCAACCTTTGGCATTCCTGGGCTTGTAGCTGCATTGCCCCAATCACTTGCTGTCTTAGGCCTGCATTTCTTCACACCCTCTTTCCTCAGTGCACGTCTATCTCTGTGTCTTAATTTCCTTTTTTCTAAGGACAGCAGTCATATTGATTAGGGCCCACCCTAATGATCTCATTGTAATCTCTTAATTACCTCTGTAAAGGCCTTATATCCAAATAAGATCATATTGTGAGGCTCTGGGGATTGGGACTTCAACATAATATTTTGTTTGTTTTTGTTTTTGTTTGTTTTGAGACAAGAGTTTCACTCTTGTTGCCCAGACAGGAGTGCAATGGCGTAATCTCAGCTCACTGTAACCTCCACCTCCTGGGTTCGAGCAATTCTCCTGCCTCAACCTCCTGAGCAGCAGGGATTACAAGTGCGTGCCACCATGCCCGGCTGATTTTTTGTATTTTTAGTAGAGATGGGATTTCACCATGTTGGCCAGGCTGGTGCCGAACTCCTGATGTCAAGTGATCAACCCAACTCAGCCTCCCAAAGTGCTGAGATTACAGGCGTGAACCACTGGCCTCAATGCACTTTTTGAAGGGGCTCAGAAGACACTATTCAGCCCAAAACAGAAAGGAAAGGAGCTCTCCATGTGAGCTCTCCATGAGTCCACCTCAGCATAGATATTTCACCAGCCACTGCCAATCATTATTTGTTTTCATTCCACCTAAACCCAACATAATTCCAAACAACCCAGGACTAGATATCAACCTACATGGGTAGGACCTAGCATGGGGTCTGTCCAAATTCAGTGGACCTGAATTGACTCAAGGATGCATGGTCACCAAAATGCCAATGGTTTCGATAAGCAGTTCGGGCTACTCCCAGGCACAATTCTACTTTGTGTTTGGTCTGTTTGTTTTCTAAGAGTCATGAAGGCAAACAGCACTTGACATCTGTCAAGTTCCATTACCAGCTTGTGTCTTACCTGCTCTGATCTATTTTGAATTGAAACACAATAAAGAACCTACCTCTTAAATCCTACTGCTGGGTTATTCAGCCATCTATTCATTAATCTTCTTATTAATACTGAGTCATGCGCTCTACTGAGTATGCAGTGTTGAATAAGACAGGCATGTTTCCTGCCTTCATGGAGCTGAACTTGAACCAGGGACACTGACATTGAGAAAATAAGAGTTTCCTGTTTCAAAATAAAAGGCCAGTCATCACATTTCTTAGACCGTGTGCTAAGGAAGCCTAGAGCTGGTAGTATCAGTGCTCTTCCCTTATCCCTCAGGCCTCCCCACTTCGGTGTGCCCTGAAGCTTCTTCCAAAGCCAAGGGAGAAAAGTGCAGTGGAATTAACACCCCCTGGAAGCCCCAGTTCTCAATCAATGAGTAGCAGAGTTAAAGTATAAACACCTCAGCTCCCTGGCCCTGCAAGTGGCTTAACTCTGAGTTGGGATGGGGAGGGGTGGTTGTTTCCATTTCTGAGAATTTCCACACAGGACTAAGCTCCACTTACCTCACTCCTGAGAGCTAACTAGGAGAGAGCACCTTCACTGGCCTCTTCCCCTTCCCTGCTCCACTTCCCTGACCTCCATCAGTGTTTCTGCATGCACAAAAGGCTACTTGCACATAATTCCTTATCTCAGGAGACCTCAAACTTAAGAATTTCTTGTTTACTCAGTGTTTGCTCAGGTTTCTTGGTATTTAAACATAGCCAGAAACAGGGAACAGAGCTTGATTCAGACTGTGGTGTAAGAATCTGTAGTGGACTTGCTGTGTGTGCAATTTGGTAGGCCTGAGGGATAAAGACAAAACTTTACTTTCCCTTAGTCCATCTCAATTCAATTCAATAAGTAGTTTATGGACATTCCACGGGTAGATGATAGAGGTACCTACGGAGCTCACGGTCAGGTAATGTAGAAAGAGAAAGAAGCATTATACAACCAACATAAATACAATGCAGAATTACATGAAATGGTTGTAAATGTAAAGTGAACAATTAATTCTGACTGCTGGGATTGGGCTGGGATAGGCATTATGGAAGAGAGGACTACAGATCTGGGCTTGGAAGTAAAGCAATGTTTCCCAAGTATTTTTTACATTATCACCCCCCAATGGGCCTTTTTAGACTGTCCCCATTACCTCCCCCAACCCATAAAATGTCAGTACCACAGATATACTGTGTACCTATTTATGCTGTATGGTACAGAGATTTTTTTTGCCCCTCCCCAACCCCAGAACCAAGCTTCCTCCCACTGAAAATGCATGAAGAAAAAAAAAAAAAAAAGAAAGAGAGTACAGGTTTAAATAAAACACTATGATAAATGCTAAAAGGTATGAAAGTGAACAACTCATAGAGGCAAAGGTAAACCGTCCAATTTGGCCTCTTGTAGATTAATAATGATTGCAACTTCTTTGATACTCCTACCTCAAGAGGAGATGTCTATGTCCCTTTCAGTTCAACCCTTAAGAGTCTGGCAGCTTCCACTTGCTGAACACTAAGCCTTGGCATCCAGCCATGCTGTGAGGAAGCTCAAACATCCCCAAGGAGAGGTGTATATGGAGAGAAAACAGGGCAGCCCAGTTGCCAGCTTGCCAGCCATGGGAATAAGCCATCTTGAAGTGGATCCTTTAGTGCCAGTTGAGCCGTTCCTGCTGGCCCACATAGCCCTGTCCAAATTGTAGATTTACAAACAGAAAAAAAGTTCTTGTTTTTTTGAGCAACTAATTCTGGGAGTGATTTGTAATAAAGCAATAAATAATCAGAACATGACACAGACACAACACAAAGCTACTAAATCACACACACGGCAAGTCCACTACAGATTCTCATACCACAGTCTGAATCAAGCTCTGTTCCCTGTTTCTGACTATGTTCAAATACCAAGAAACCCGAGCAAACACTGAGTAAACAAGAAATTCTTAAGTGACTGATTCATTAATTAAAGTCACAAGGTCATACTTTGCTTGTCAAATACAATTTTTTAAATTTTAAGCAAGGCTGCTGTTGTTTATGAGTCAATTAGCTTGTAAACAAAAAGTACTGCAAGTCTCCCTGAACAACATTTTTGTATTTCCAAGAATCAGGAAGACACTGAATACATACTTTATCATAATAAATAAAATACACAGGCTGCTCTAAAAGAATTGTTCAGACCAGAACTGAATGAAGTGAAAACATTTTCAAATGCAAGTGGCAGGCAAACTGCCCCACCCTATCCTGGAAGACAATACAAAGAGGGATGGGGGAGAGAAGAAAATAAGTGATTCTCCTACACACCCAGCCCATGCCATGCTAATCCCTTTTTGAGGACCACTGGTTTTAAACAAACTCTCTTTTGCTGTAAAACAAAGAAGACCCTTTCTTATCATTGCATCCATTCGCCACATTTAAATATCAACCTAAACATAGACTACGCAACACTAAGATTCGCAGTTACTAGAAAAGGTTTTTTTACAGTCCAAATGATCTGTGATGGACTTCACCATCCCCACGGCTGCTGCCTCCCATAATCTGCCTCAAGTACAACACAGGCTCCCTGCACTTATTCCAAAAAGTAACATCTATCAAAGCTACAAATTTGAAACAGGTGCATATTTAGCATGTAAATGTAGAACAACTTTATATTTCCTTAGCTGCATTCAACACGCTCATGAAATTTAGATTTCTACAGTTTAGTCCAAAGTTCCTACAACCTTCAAAAATTAAAAAAAAAAAAACAAAACAAAACAAAAAAAGATTAGCAAATTGAATTATAAACAAGAAGGATATGGAAACTTGACTTCCCACCCGTGAATGGTCTCGGTAAACAAACCCTAAGTCCACATGCAAGCCTCCATTAATTGGTTCCTTTTGGCTCAGAGCTCCCCTGCTTGCCTCAGCTCATAGTCACATGCCCAGCTGACTTTGCCCAGGGGGCATATGATTTTCAATCCCTGGATTCAGCACGCATTCCCCATATAGCCTGTGCTGTACATTGTTTCTATTAGGGAACCAGGCCTCCAAGTTCAAAACCTTACATTCTTACAAATTTTGAAAACCCTAGTCAATGCTGATGATACTTAAAAATACAAGATCTTTTCCTATAACATACAGTCTGCAGATTAGTCATGCCTGATTTCAACAATTCTTGATGGATGTCTACATCTACTATGTTGTCTGTTGCCATTAATATTGTTTTTCAACCTTATCATGAAAAAGAAGACGGCATTGTATAAGCCCTATGCTCCCAAATATTTCATTTGTACGACAGACATCATCATATGCTTTCTCCTTCACCATGTAGTTAACAAAGGGAAGCCAAAAAATCTACTGTGGGCCAGAAAGAATCCAGCAGTAGGTGAAGAAAGAATTTAAGAAGCTCTATTTCTTCCACAACAGCAAGGGTTGCCTGAATTTGAATCCTGGTTCCACCTCTTACTAGATGCATGACCTGGGAAGTGAACTTAACTTCCTGTATTAGTCTATTTCCACATGCTGATAGACATACCCAAGACTGGGCAATTTACAGAAGAAAGAGGTTTAATGAACTCACAGGTCCATGTGGCTGTGGAGGCCTCACAATCATGGCAGAATGTGAAAGGTACATCTCACATGGCAGCAGACAAGAGAAGAGAACTTGTGAAGGGAAATTCCCCTTTAGAAAGCCATCAGATCTCATGAGACTTATTAACTACCACAAGAATAGCATGGTAAAGACCCACCCCCATGATTCAATTACCTCCTACCAAGCCCCTCTCACAACACGTGGGAATGGTAGGAGTTACAATTCAAGATGAGATTTGAGTAGGGACACAGCCAACCATATCGCCTCCCAAGCCCCAGTTTGTTCATCTGTAGATGGGGACGATTATATATAATACATGCACTTCACAGGGCTACATAAGGATTAACTGGGTAAAATAAGTAGAACAGGTAGCCCAGGTCCCAACATCAGGCAAGAGCTTCAAAGTTAGCCATAATTGTTACGTGAATTATTCCTACATAATTAATTGTTATTGTTATTTTCTTTTTTCGTTGTCTTTTGCTTTTCTCATTCTCTCAATTCTTCATCACATCTCTTTTCTCCCCCTCCTTATTTGCACTGATTTCAACATGTCTGCCTTTCATCACTCTCATCTCACCAAGTGACTTATTTTCATGAGTGACTTATTTATTCATGGGTGAATTCTACAGATTGTTGTTTTAGACTTCTGATAAGGAAAGGATTCATATGAAAAAATGTTGATCAGACAGACTAGGGGAACAACTATCCAGTTGAACCCCTGGCATCTTTCATCATCATCATCATCATCATCATCATTGTCAGTCATTCTCTTGGCTAGCATCTATTGAGCTGCGCCTCCAGAGCTATGTCAGGTATAATGACTCAGGAAATGCTCACGACAATGCTCTGAGGTAGGAACTACGGTTAAACCCATTTACAGTGGTCAAAACTGAGGAACAAAGAGGCTCAATAACTGAGCCCACAGGTGTGCAGCTCAAAATCAAAATGCCCCAAACTGGGCCACTTGTCCTCCAGGGTCTCCCCACCGACAAACCTTCCCCTCTTTCCAGAGTGTCTGTCAGCCCCAGCAGCAGCTTACAGGCCCAAGTCAGAGACTGGGGCTGCAGTTTTTACTCCCTTCTCTTTCTTAAACTGTACATCTACTTAATAAAAATAGTCAGCCAGTTATTTTAATCAAATCCCCTTATTGCTATATTTTTATTTTATCAGAAGCTGAGGAAAAGAAATAGAAGCTTTCATACTTGAGGCGAACATGAATTTAAATTGCAATTTCCCCATCAGAGCTCTCTATCCTCAGGAGAGGGACCACAACAGAACCAAAACTTCCCAGTGGGGAAGGCCAGTGCTGTGAGCTGCTCAGGACAGGCATCTCCTGGGTGTGTCCCTCCTGGCAGGCGTTAGCAGTTGTCTAACAAAAACCTCCCCGTAAGCTCATGTCAAAAGGCATCTTAATCAAAAAGGTGTATATAGAAATTTTAGCTTATTTTCTTCAATTAGTTTTTTTTAAGAAAAAGAAAATACAGGTAATAATTCTTTTGTTGGTGATTATCTTATTGTCCCAACATTAATCTTGATTGTAGTCTTTCTCAGTGACTCTAATCCTCCTGGCCACTGTGCCATAAATTTTATGGTCATTTTCTATAATAAGCCACAATAAAAAAAAAGTCCATTTCTTCTGAATGTTTACTAATTATATCCAATTAAATATATTTTATTATTTATAAAGGCATTTTAAATGACCCATATTGAAATTAACCTTTGCCATTAAGTGTCAAATTCTGTACAGAGCTAGACTATGTGATCGAGACTACACATCCTCTGACATTTCAGAGGCGGAAAGTGTCTCTTGTGGTCTGGAGGAATCAGAAAAAGATGTGAAGAAGGAAGTGGGACCGTCCCTATGCACCGGGCACAAGTCAAGAGAAGGAAGGACGGAGGACACATGGAGACCATGTGAAGAGCAGAGCTGACCCCAGGGTGAGGCCCCAACCCAAAGCCAGATCCTCTCTGGAAAGGTCAGATGTGAAAACTCAGTCCAAAGAAATTGCATGTGATCCCTTTAACCACTAACTCTTTCACTACTCACCCCTCTGGTTTGCAAATGTTTAAAAAGAGAAGGTGCAAATTTCACTCCCCTCTTGGTCCCAAGACCATCAACAAATCTTACCCCTCATGATCTCAATTCTGTGTCTCCTCATACTGAGGCTCTGTGCCCCTCCCCATTCATACAGAGAAGCTGTGAAAGTCCTGGGTTTCCCACAAGCAGAGGCCAAAGAATGGCCAGTCCTCGCAGACAGAGCCTGCAGGCTAGGGACCTCCATGGCTCCCATCAGCCCCCAGCCCACCCAGCCTACAGAAAACAGAGCCCTTCCATGTATATTCCCTTCTAAAGATGTTAGTGGATGTCTGGGTTCCTCTGGCTCCTAATCTTATACCACATTAGGAAAATGCTTCCCATTCAAAACACTAAAGCCCACTCTTAAAATGGAGTGATGAACAGGAACACCAAAAAGAAAGAGAGAATTTGGAGGAAAAAAAACTACTCAAAAGTAAGTTTTAAGTAAAAGATGCCCTCAAATTTTCATACCATTTAAAAAGAGCTCATAGCGTCCATTTAGTAAGACTGAACCATTTTCATTACTAACCTATTGGAAATTGCATATGCCCTTTAATGCAAGATTATAATAAAACCCAATCATGCAAGATTCCCAACAACAACAACAAAAAAAAGCAGCTCTCCTCAAAGCAAAGGTCGCCAGATACAAAGTAAATGCCAGATTTTATCTAGCTGTTTGAGAACACAGTCTGCTGAGCTGATTTAAGCAAAGGCAGCTGCGTGTAGGTCATTTGTTTGTCCTGGATTTAGCCCTGAACTGAGCAGCACGAAGCAAAAAAGAGGCTGGACTCTCCTTGGCCACACGGACCTCTGCTCAGAAACAGGCCCATCTGCCCAGACTCACCTTGTCCCTTTTGTCCTCAACTGAGTCCCTCATTGGACATATCCCCCACCCAGCACAAGACCAAATCTGCACCAACACAAGAGCCAAGTCAAAGGGACTGGCTAAATCTCCTGTAGTTCGAATAAATGCCAATAATTACAACCACATGCACTTCGTATACAGGTCCCAAATCTGAAGTCTCCTTCATCTTTTAAACCTCTGCTTGATGAGTCTTTGCAGAAAGTTCAAGTGACCTAATTTTTTCTAGAGTACCAGAAGTGATTGATGTTTATAAGGTACACCTTAGGCAATGCACAGAACAGAGATATTGGTCGACTCATCAAAGATTAAATTATGTCCTACATAATTTTAAGTGTTATAAATATTGCAGTTAGTTGGGAATTAGTAATCCATCTAAAGTGCATATCTGTATGCGCATAGAAGACATTATTTGATAAATAATTATCGCTTAATAAGTATGTGCTAACATTATGCTTCCAGTGACAGAATGAAGCTTTAGGAAGGAAAAAAAAAGTCTCAAAATGTCAATGTAACTAAGAAAAAGATTTCAAACCTTCAGCATGGTAGTTCTCAAAGTCTGGATTCACAGCATCAGCATCATCTGAGAACTTACTGGAAATGGAGGTTTCCATGATCCACCACAGACCTGCTGGATCAGAATCTCTGGGGATGAGGCCAGGTCTCCTGCCACCTAGCAAGCCCTCTGAAGGGGTGGGTTGCCCCTCCAATTCCATCACAGGCTTTTAAATACTCTGAGATTACATCTGAGCCTGCGGGAACCTTTCCTTTTAATGACTTAACGGCTGATTGACACTCAGGATTGGCGTCTTCGTATGCCATCAACTCCACTACGCCCATCTCCGCCACTCCGGATTCGGGGATCTGAACCCGACTCCCTTTCGATCCGCTGAGGGCAAGGGAGGCCATTGCCTGTCCCTTCGGAACGGCGCTCGCCCATCTCTCAGGACCGACTGACCCGTGTTCAACTGCTGTTTCACTGGACGCCGCCAGAACAGCGACGCTTTCCAAGGCACGGGCCCCTCTCTCGGGGCGAACCCATTCCAGGGCACCCTGCCCTTCACAAAGAAAAGAGAACTCTCCCCGCGGCTCATTTTTCTTTCTCTACACTTTGTCTCTGTGTCTCTTTCTTTTCCAAGTCTCTCGTTCCACCTAACGAGAAACGCCCACAGGTGTGGAGGGGCAACCCACACCTTCACCCTCCAGCTAATTCTGATATGGGATAATGTTGGAGAATCTCAGGACTAAAGGGAAGCCTTATTAGTGAGGAATCCTCTAAGCACGGCCTTGAAGGTCAGGTGAGATAACAGGATGCTAACAGATGAGGCCCCGAAGGGAGAAAGAGCCCAGGGGCAGAAAGCAGACGTTGTATTTGAGAACCAGCAAGAGTCTACTTTGGTTGAAATATACAATCCAAAAAGGTGAACAGCAGAAGTTGATGCTGGAAAAAAAAAAAAGATATAGCTCAGGTCATAAAAAACTATACTATATTCTGCAGGCTATGAGATGTCAACGAGAATCTTACGAGAATCAACGGCAAGATCAAAGCTATCCATCAGCAAATATCTTTTGAAATCAGATTCACTACCACCTTATACATAATACAAGATGACAGTGAAGTCAGGAAATTACACTGATCAGCCTTTTCTCCAAATATTCCTCTAAGGCTTTTCTACTGATAATCAAAAGATCCAAATTTATAACTACAATATCCTTAGCATCTTAATTTTACATTTAGAAGTTCTGAACCATTTAACTGCAATAGAAAAGCTAGAAATGACATGCTGCTTTATTTCTCTTTGTAGACATTATCATTATCAGAGATGTCTCTCACTTAAGTGATGAAGACTTAAGAAAGCATCACCAGTATGAACAGATTACTTTTTTGTAATGAAAATTAATAACCCTCTGAATTGCCTCCAGCAATAAGATTGAATGGCACAGTTAAAAGTAATAAAGAGAAACTTAAATGTATATTACTAAGTGAAATGTATATTACTGAGTGAAGCCAATCTGAGAAGGCCACATACTGTATGATTCCAATTATAAGACATTCTGGAAAAAGCAAAACTATGGAGACAGTATAAAGATTAGTGGTTGCCAGGGGTTTGAAGGGAGGGAGGAATGAATAGGAAGAACACAAAGGATTTTTAGGGCAATGTAACTACTGAGTGTGATACAATAATGGTGGATACCTATCAAAACAAATGTGCCCAAACTCATAGAAGTACAACAGCAAGAGTGAACCCTAATGTAAACTATGGACTCTGGGTGTTAATGATGTATCAGTGCAGGTTCATGAAACATAACAAATGTGCCCCTCTGGTCCTCTGGTGAGAGACATTGATCAAGGGGGAGGCTGTGTGTTTTGAAGGAAAGAGGTAGAGAGTATATGGAACTTTCTATGCCTTCCACCTCAATTTTGCTGAGAACCTAAAACTGCTCTTACAAAATAAAACATATTTTTTAAAGTATTAAAAAAAAGCCTCCCTAGAACAACAGTTGAGTGATTTTAGGAAATTTACTTAAAATCTTAGGTACTTAGAGGTCACTTGTCCACAGCTCCATTTTAAGCATCTAACTCCCTGACCATGAGCTTTTAGTTTTTCAGCTGAAGGCCACGGATTCCCACCATCTTCAACCAGACAGGGACCTCAGCCCATTCATCTGCCATCTGTTCCCTGTGACTCGCCCTCTCACGTCCCTTGGTCTTTCTTACCCAGCTTAATTTCCAAGGTCAATCATCATGACAGTTCCCTTTCATACACTACACTTTGATTGACTACTTCATCAGCTCTCTTGAAAATCAACCATGTAAAACTCACTTTCTGATCAAGTTGTGGATCTATGCCCAGGTCTGGGGAAATCCACATGACCAAGCTGGCTGTTAACGTACACTTCATGCCTTAACCCCCAAGTGGGCAGTTCAGGCTGCTCAGCATTCTCACTGTAGTCCCTTAATGCACTCATTTACATGAATGTTTAATACCTTCTCCTCTTCCCCATTCTCATTCTCAGCTGAGGGCTTTGCTTCCCGCTATAGGTTGAACTATGTTTTCCAATGTGTTTGATGTTCTAACCATGGAACTCATGGATGCGACCTTATTTGGAAATAGGGTCTTTGCACATGTAATCAAGTTAAGGTGAAGTTATACTGGGCAAGGATGGGCCCTAACCCAATGACTTCTGTCTTTATGAGAAGAGAGAAATTTGAACACAGAGACGCATGGGAGTACACCATGTGAAGATGGACGCAGAGGCTGGAGGCAAGTGTCTATTATGCAAGCCAAGTTTTCAGCAACCCCCTGAAGCCAGGGAGAGGTATGGAACAGATTCTTCGTTAGGAACCAACCCTGCTGACACCTGGATATGGGACTTCCAGCCTCCCAAACTGTGAAAGAATCAATTTCTGTTGTTTTAAGCCCTCATGATAGTTAACTTAATGTGTCACCTTAATTGGGCCATGGGGCCCAGGTATTTGGTCAAACATTATTCTAAGTGTGTCTATGAGGGTGTGTTGGGTGAGACTCACATTTGAATTGGTAGACTGAGTAAAGCAGATTGCTTCTCCTAATGTAGGTGGGATTCATCCAATTAGTTGAAGGCCTAAATAAAACCAATGGGCTGACTCTCCATCAAGTAAGAGGAAATTCCTCCTTCCTAATCTCTTGGAGTGGGTACATCAGTCTTTTGCTGATTTTGGACTCACACTGAACCATCAGCTCTTCTTGGGTTTTGAGACCGCTGGCTTTTGGACTAGAACTCCTACCATCATTTCTGCTTCCCAGGGTTTTGGACCCAGACTGGAACCACATCACTGGCTATCCTGTGTCTCCAGCTTGCCAACTGTAGATCTCTAATATCACAGCCTCCATCACTGCAAAGCCAATTCCTTATAATAAATCTCTCTCCTTCTCTCTCTCCTCACTCTCTCTCTTTCTATATATATATATATATATATATATATATATATCCCCTATATATATCCCCTATATATATCCCCTATATATATCCCCTATATATATCCCATATATATATCCCATATGTATGTATATATCCCATATATATATCCCATATGTATGTATATATCCCATATATATATCCCATATATATATCCCATATATATATCCCATATGTATATCCCATATATATATCCCATATGTATATCCCATATGTATATCCCATATGTATATCCCATATGTATATCCCATATGTATATATCCCATATGTATATATCCCATATGTATATATCCCATATGTATATCCCATATATATATCCCATATATATATCCCATGTATATATATCCCATATGTATATATCCCATATGTATATATCCCATATATATATCCCATATATATATCCCATGTATATATATCCCATGTATATATATCCCATATATATATCCCATATATATATCACACATATATATCCCATATATATCTATCCCGTATATATCTATCCCGTATATATCTATCCCGTATATATATAGCCCGTATATATATATAGCCCGTATATATATAGCCCGTATATATATATCCCGTATATATATATACCGTATATATATATATCCCGTATATATATATCCCGTATATATATATATATCCCGTATATATATATCCCGTATATATATATATCCCGTATATATATATCCCGTATATATATATATCCCGTATATATATATCCCGTATATATATATATCCCGTATATATATATCCCGTATATATATATATCCCGTATATATATATCCCGTATATATATATATCCCGTATATATATATCCCGTATATATATATATCCCGTATATATATATCCCGTATATATATATATCCCGTATATATATATCCCGTATATATATATATATCCCGTATATATATATCCCGTATATATATATCCCGTATATATATATCCCGTATATATATCCCGTATATATCCCATATTGTATCCCATATATGTATCCTATATATGTATCCCATATATATCCTACATATGTATCCCATATATATATCCTATATATATAAAATCCCATATATATACTATATATATACTATATATATCCCATATATATACACTATATATACTATATGTATACTATATATCCTATATATATGCTACATATATATATCCTCCATATATATATATCCTACATATATATCCTATATATATCCTATATATATCCCATATATATATATTCTATTGGTTCTGTTTTCCCAGAGAACCCTAATACAGCCTCCCAGTTTGTGATACTTTGCTATAGCAGGCCTAGGAAACTAACACACATCCTATCTCTGAAAACACTTATGCACACAGAAGAGAGCTTTTCTAAGCTCACATCCCTCAGCATCTGTCCGCCAAGACTCCATCTTGCCTCATGTTTCTCTAGATGCCCTCGCTATACTCCTATGGATGGCCAATTGGTCCATGTGCACACTGATCCCATCCCCTCCTGTCTACTTAGGGATGCTGCTCCAGCAAGTCTTTCCCCCTGTATTAGTCTGTTTTCATGCTGCTGATAAAGACATACCCAAGACTGGACAATCTACAGAAAAAAAGAGTTTTAATTGGGCTTACAGTTATACATGGCTGGGGAGGCCTCACAATCATGGGGGAAGGTAAAGAGGAGTAAGTCACATCTTACATGAATGGCAGCAGGCATTCATGTAAAGAGAGCTTTGCATCCTGCAAAGAGAGCTTGTGCAGGAAAACTCCCCCTCATAATAACCATCATATCTCATGAGACTTACTCACTATCACAAGAATAGCACAGGAAAGACTGCCCCCATGATTCAATTACCTCCCACTGGGTCCCTCCCACAACACGTGGGAATTGAAGATGAGATTTTGGGTGGGGACATAGCCAAATCATATCATTCTACCCCTGGTCCCTCCCAAATCTCATGTCCTCACATTTCAAAACCAATCATGTCTTCCCAACAGTCCTCCAAAGTCTTAACTGATTTCAGCACTAACTCAAAAGTCCATAGTCCAAAGTCTCATCCAAGACAAGTCAGGTCCCTTCTGCCTACGAGCCTGTAAAATCAAAAGCAAGTTAGTTACTTCCTAGACACAATAGGGTACAGGCATTTGATACATACAGCCATTCCAAATGGGAGACATTGGCCAAAACAAAGGGACTACATGCCCCATGCAAGTCTGAAATCCAGCAGGGTAGTCAAATCTTAAAGCTCCAAAATGACCTCCTTTGACTCCATGTCTCACATCCAGGTCATGCTGATGCAAAAGGTGAGTTCCTATGGTCTTGGGCAGCTCCACCCCTGTGGCTTTGCAGGGCACAGCCTCCCTCCTACCTGCTTTAGTGGGCTGGCATTGAGTGTCTGCTGCTTTTCCAGGTGCACGATACAAGCTGTCGGTGGATCTACCATTCTGGAGTCTGGAGGATGGTGGCCCTCTTCTCAGAGCTCCATTAGGTGACACCCCAGTAGGGACTTTGTGTGGGGGTTTTGACCACACATTTCTTCTCTGCACTGCCCTAGCAGAGGTTCTCCATAAGAGCCCTGCTCCTATAGCAAACTTTGGTGTACTAGCAGGCTCAACACAGAGTGGAAGCTGCTAAAGCTTGAGGCTTTCACCCTCCGAAGCCACAGCCCAAGCTCTATGTTGGCCCCTTTCAGTCACAGCTGGAGTGGCTAGGACACAGGGCACCAAGTCCCTAGGCTGCATACAGCACAGTGACCCTGGGCCCAAGCCACAACAACATGTTTTCCTCCTAGACCTCTGGGCCTGTGATGGAAGGGGCTGAGATGAAGACCTCTGACATGCCCTGGAGACATTTTCCCCATTGTCTTGGGGACTAACTTTTGGCTCCTCATTACTTATGCAAATTTCTGCAGCCAGCTTGGATTTCTCCTCAGAAAATGGGACTTCCTTTTCTATTGCATTGTCAGGCTGCAAATTTTCCAAACTTTTATGCTCTGTTTCCCTTTTAAAGCTGAATGCCTTTAACAGCACCCAAGTCAACTCTTGAATGCTTTGCTGCTTAGAAATTCTTCTGCCAGATACCCTAAATCATCTCTCTCAAGTTCAAAGTTCCACAAATCTCTAGGGCAGGGGCAAAATGCTGCTAGTCTCTTTACTAAAACATAGCAAGCGTCACCTTTGCTCCAGTTCCCAACAAGTTCCTCATCTCCATCTGAGACCATCTCAGCCTGGACCTTATTGTTCGTATCACTATCCGCATTTTTGTCAAAGCCATTCAGCAAACCTCTAGGAAGTTCCAAACTTTCCCACATTTTCCTGTCTTCTTCTGAGCCCTTCAAACTGTTCCAACCTCTGCCTGTTACCCAGTTCCAAAGTCACTTCCTCATTTTTGGGTATCTTTTCAGCAGCACCCCACTCCTGGTACCAATTTACTGTATTAGTCCATTTTCACACTGCTGATAAAGACATACCCGAGACTGGGCAATTTACAAAAGAAAGAGGTTTAATTGGACTTACAGTTCCACATGGCTGGGGAGGTCTCATAATCATGGCAGAAGGCAAGAAGGTGCAAGTCACATCTTACATGAACGGCGGCAGGCAAAGAGAGCTTGTGCAGGAAACCCCCCCCTTATAACAACCATCAGATCATGTGAGACTTACTCACTACCACGAGAATAGCATAGGAAAGACCAGCCACGATGATTTAATTACCTTCCACTGGTCCCTCCCACAATACCTGGGAATTCAAGATGAGATTTGGATGGGGACACGGCCAAACCATATCACTCCCTTATTTCATTTATGTTTTCCTCTCTCCAGGATCATTTCCATGAGCATAAAACAAGCTATAATTTCCCCTGGCTAAAAACAAAACAAAAATCCTCTTTCGAATCCACACCTCCTAATCTCTCCTCCACCACAGCTATTTTCCCATTTCTCCCATCCCCTCTATAGAAAACCTCAGTTTTAAAGTTGCTTCACCCTCTTCTCCAGTATCCCTTTTGCCCCTCTCTCATAAACCCATGCTAATCTGGCTTTAGCCTCATCATCCGCTGAAATGACTCAAAAATATTTGCTGAATTACATACAGACTGGTACCACTGTGTCACTGAGAATATGTTTACCCTTCACATTCTTATCCCTACTTATTCCTATTGACTTTTAAACCCATAGTTACCCTCATCAATTCTGATCCATGACACAAATTATACATTACAAATACACATCATCAAAACAAAAAAAGCAGTGTGGCTGAGGTAAGACATTCATTCTCTCCAGGTTTCTTCATCTTTAAAACAGGGGCATTAAAAGAGTTGACTCTGACCTATCCTGCTTTGACCTTGTCCAACTGGCTTCCATTCATTTCTTGGTGGTCAGCTATGGTCTAACAGTGTCATGACAAATATTTGCATGATTTTTAAGACTTTGGGATGCATTTGCTTCTCCCCTGAAAAAAAAATTAAAAAAGGAAAAGGCAGAGAAAGAGAAAAGAGAGAAGGAAAGGGGAAGAAAGGGGAAGAGAGTGACTGGTGGAAGGAAGAAAAAGAACCAAAAAAGAAACAGAAGAGATTGTGTCTGTTAGGCCAGGAGTGGTAGCTCACGCCTGTAATCCCAGCACTTTGGGAGGCTGAGGCGGGTGGATCACCTGAGGTCAGGACTTTGAGACCAGCCTGGCCAACATAGTGAAACCCTGTCTCTACTAAAAATACAAAAAATTAGCCAGGCATGGTGGCGGGTGCCTGTAATCCCAGCTACTTGGGAGGCTGAAGCAGGAGAATCACTTGAACCCAGGAGGCGGAGGTTGCAGTGAGCTGAGATCGTACCACTGCACTCCAGCCTGGGCAACAAGAGCGAAACTCCACCTCAAAAAAAAAAAAAAAAGAGAGAGAGAGAAGGAAGGTAACACCACTCAGAGCACAGTTCTGTTAAAGAAATATTGATTTTTAGATCCTTACTCTACAGCATAAGATGATTATGTGAACTAGCTGCTCCTTAAATCTCCTTGGTCTTTAGTAAGCATCTTTTTAAATATCTATATAAAGTCTGTTTTTCTTCTGTATTAAATTTTTCTCAATGACAATTACTGGTAACGGCTCCTTAAGTGCTCCTCAGATCAAAGAGAATAAATACATCAAAGGCACGCCTGAAAAAAATTGAACTTCTTAGGTTACCCTTAAATCATGAGAAGAACTCGTGAAGTGAAAGTTCTCTTCGTGTCTATTAACCACATCTCATTTACCGTCATACACAGCAGCTGGGTGTGGTTGTATAGATTGTTCTTGCAAAAGAGTGCCTTTCAGTCAAGGGCAGGTAGAGGCTGAAATCCACTGAATCCTCTGCTCACCAAGCATGCACACATGGAGCTGCACCCAACCCTAAGTCACGCAGAATCAATTTACACACTACCTGGGCCAATGTGAGGTCAATGCACAGCCCCAGGTCCATTAGATCACGCAAGTGGCAGAGAAACACTGTGGCTGTGTCAAGCATGGTGCTTGGCACTAGGAGCCCAAAGAGAAATAAGAAACCTCAAATGGTGGCTGGCTGCAGTGGCTCATGCCTGTAATCCCAGCACTTTGGGAGGCCAAGGCAGGTGGATCACCCGAAGACAGGAGTTCAAGACCAGCCTGGCCAACATGGTGAAACCCCATCTCTACTAAAAACACAAAATAAATAGCTGGGCATAGTAGCAGACGCCTGTAATCCCAGCTACTCAGGAGGCAGAGGCAGGAGAATGGCTTGAACCTGGGAGGCGGAGGTTGCAGTCAGCTGAGATTGCACCACTGCACTCTAGCCTGGGCGACAAGAGTGAAACTCCATCAACAACCAAAAAAAGAAGCCTCAAATGGCTCATAGTTGACTGTTGATAATAATCCATAACGCAGAACAGTCGAGGGGCAGGCAAGGGCGGGGCAGAGAGTTAACTGGACTTAGCTTACCAGTGTTTCCCAAAATGTGGGAGTGCCTCATGGGGTGCATGAGATGATTTAATCTAGCCCACAGATACAGAATTATATAGTATTCATCTCCCTTAAATAATGAGAAAGTTATTCCCGTTTGAATTATCTTTCAAATTGCTAATATCGGTATCAGTGAGAAAGCCTCAGTTTGATGCCAGTATACTTTCACCACCTTTCTTACACACTTATCTTCCTTTTAAGCTGAGTGATTACTGACTCCAGGCTCAGAGCCCTCAGAAAGCAATAACAGCTCATGAACTTTTTTTCCACTGTATTCATTTTTATTGTTTCCTTCTGGTTATGGCAAGTGACGTTGGTTCCCCTCTACGGCAACGGCATAAATATTCCCTTTTAAATAAATGTATTACCTAACAAGATGTGTCAATTTAATAAAAAGAGAGAGTAAATATTTCAGTTACCATACAGCTATACAAAAATTGTGGAGATGGCATAAGGTATCAAAACACTGGCAACTGTATTATGCAAATGATAGAGTTGAACCAGCCCCGAGCTATACCCCAGGCTGCAGGAGGGGCAGGACCCAGTCTGTCTATCCCAATGGAATTCCTGGCATTTGGCATGAGCCAGACATGGAACAGGCATCCTTGAAGACTCCTGGAAGGAACTAGGGGAAACAGAGATGGTCACCCACTGATCAACTACAGAGGAGACGGGCACAGAGAGAGAGGATGTGAACATTAAGTCCCTGTCTATAGATTGTTTCTGCAGAAGAAGAGTCCAGGGCAGGGGGCCTGCCTGTTGAGAGGCAGGAGAAAGACTGAGAATCTGTTTTATCGGTCTATCTACAGCTCATAGTTGACTGCTGATACTATATTGGGCAGACATTTTGCTTCCAAGCATCATTACTAATTTCCTAGGTATATCGGCTCTTCTTGGGTTTTTTCTTTTTCTATTGTTTTTTGTTTGTTTGTTTTTTCTGTCTCATTCAACAATTTGTTGTGGGCTGGGTTATTTACAAGCCTCTCACTTCCCAAGGAGATCCACTGGTACATGCACTCTCAACAGGGACCACATCACCCCCATAGAGGCAAAAACTGGTTCTTGATAGCTAAAATAACCGATTATTTTTCTTATGTGTAAACCACAGATAAAACAACAGTATATAAACCATTATAATGAAGCACATTAACATTTCATTGAGGAGTATGTTACTAGGGAAAAAATGTCTAAAAGGATCTTTAGGGGAGCAACAATGAAAACAAAAGATTGGGAAACCAGAGTTGGGTTTCTCAGCCTCAGTACTACTGAAATTTGGGCCACATAATTCTTTGTTGAGGGACCGTCCTGGATGTATTGGGTGTGTAGCAGCATCCTTGGCCATTACCCATTAGATGACAGCTGAATCTCCCAGCTGTCTTTAGAAAATGTCATGTGTCTTTTGGGAGGAGGGCAAATCGCCACCGATGGAGAACAAGTGGGCTAAAGGAAAGTGTTCACAGGTATCAAATGAAGGCAGCCAGCAAGTCAGCCACGTGGCCCAGTGCTCTGGAAAGAGGGAGCTTCTAAGGATGCCAACACCCTCTCTCAAGAGAAAGGAATGAAATGCTCATATAACCAGGGTCCTCTCTCAGGGCTCCCTTGGCATGGCACAGAGCACAATTCCATATACAAAATGCTTCCCAATAGATACCATGAAGTGATACATCCATCAGTGCCTCAAAGAGATCTTCGTCATGAATAAATTTGAGTTCAGCAGCTAATACACACCCTGCAACTAAGCCCTAAAAGAATTAGGGGTATTTTTCAATCCACTCACAAGTTCATTCATGAGATTATATTTAGACATTCTTAATACTTCAACAAAAATTAACAGGTTCAAAGCACCAGGGAATGCTATGCAATATGTGAATCAGCACTCTTAAATTGGATTAAGATTTTTTTAAAAATTGGTTAGTCAAATTAAAGTAAAATAAATCTCATCAACTAAAGAGCAGGCTCATGAGAGATAGTGAGGAATATTGTGTATCACAAACAGGTTTAGAAAATGGATTCAAATCCAATTTCACTTTTACTACCCAGGTGGCTTGGGAAAACCAAATCAATCTAAAATATTTACATGTTAAATGCTTAAAAATTTAAACCTGAAATAGCAAGCACAAATTAAAGGCACCCAATTAATATTAGTGGTTTTCCTAATTTATTTTATTCCTTCCTTCCTTCCTTCTTTTTTAAGTGATAATGAACACACACTATATAAGTATAAAGGGAAAGAAAAATTATTAGAAGAAAATAGGGGGTATAAAAAAGAAAGCCAAACCAAAAAAATACAGAAAATGTAGGGCAATTTACTTTTTGCCAGTAATTAAGAGGAAGACTAGCTCTTTCAATACACAACACGGTTTGACAGTTGTCCTAGGAGTACCTTTTTTATCCTCTCTGCCAAGATCTGTTTCTTTAAAATATGTGTCAACTGTTGTCACTAGTATGTTCCCATTTGTAAGGTGCACCTACACTTTCTAGTATGACTTCCTTACAACCTGACTGGGGACCAAAAGAAGAACCTTTTGACATTTCTGGTTGCTTCTACTGTCCCAACATATCAAGAGTATCCGGATAAATTGTACTGTAGACCTTTGTGATCTCTTTATGTAACTGACTTTGTCCTACTTCATAACTATAAAATTTATTTTGGAACAATAAAAAAGAAATTATTATTGAGCTATCACAAAAAGGAAATCCTAATTCACAAGCAATAATTTGAAGAATCATAGACACCCAATAATCAAAGACTGAAGGTTAACAACAAAAGTATCTTATGGAACATACAGGAGAAGGTTCCTGCTATCTCCAAGCCTGTTTTTCCATCTTTAAATTGGTAATAATCATAGTGATACCTATAATTTACAAGGATGATGTGGTGTTTAAATTAGATAATGGATTAAAAGTCTTACTTCAGCACCTGACACAATGGCGTTCAATAAATGTTTAGTTTTATTGCATTGAGGTTTATTCTTATTATTATTACTAGGCCAATTCTCTTTTATAACCAAAAAAAAAGTTGAGAGAAACAAGGTAATTTGCTCTCAGCCACACAGGTTATTAGGAACAATACCGGAACATAAATGTCCAAGCTCCTAATTCCATGCTGCTTCTTTAATGTGCTGTTTCAGTCATCATATCCAAATGGCACTTCAGAGATTAGTATAGATATGCTATTTTGGTTATCTCTTATTGTATAATAAATTACTCCAACATTCAGTGGCTTAAAGCAGCATCCTTATTTTACTCTATCTTGTGATTTAATGGATCAGGAATATGGGCAGGGCTCAGCTGGGTGATTCTTTCACTGCACAAGGTATTGACCAGGATCAACCGGTGATATTCAGCTGGTGGACAGGCCAGTTAAGATGACTTCATTCACAGTTGAATCTCTTGGCAGGGATGGGTTGAAGACTGAGTTCAAGTGAGATTCTTGGCTAGACCCCTTGTCCATGCCTTTTCCAGTGGTCTTGGGATAGTCAGACTTTGTTCATGGTGGCTCAGAGCTTCCAGAGAGCTGGGTTCCGAAAGGTCTGGGAAGAAGCTGATGCTGCTCTAAGGCTTGTTCTGAGCTAACATCAGTCTCAGAAAATCACTTCTGCCACATCCTGTTAGTCGTGTCACTAAAGCCAACCCAAATTCAAGAGGAGTGGAGTTAAACTCCATCTCCAAATGGAAGAAGTAGCAACAAATTTTCAAGCATTGTTAGTCTACCACACACAGACCACATGTAAAGACAAAGGACAATATTGTTGTTCTTGTGAGTCAAGTCCCTAAGATATTACAGAAGAGGGCTGTATTTTTATTGTTATTGTTACTATTTGTTATGTCGTGTGTGTGAGTGTGTGAGAGAGTATGTGTGTGTGAAGAACTTAAATGACACATAATTAATAAATAATATATACTTAATAGTATGTACTTAATAAAAATTATATCGTAGCCTTATTGGGAAAAAAAAAAAAGACCTTTCAAAGTAATTTATCCGGAAAGAAAAACAAGTAAAATTGATGTCAAGTAAAATTTGCTCCCAGCCAAATTAAACACTGGCTTCACAAAATGAAGGGGAAAGCCATATGTTATTTTCAAAATGGCTTCCCAAGAGGGCAAGCAATAATGCAAAGAGGTATTGAAGCTGCAGAATGGGGGATATTGTCAAAGAGAATTTATTACCCCATGTATAACAAGAATAATCTCCAGTCCCTTGCCACCAAGTTATGGTTCAGAAAGCCTAATGAAAATTCTGGGAGGGAATTAAATTTAATTTGTTGTTCTGGGTTTAGAATTGACCCATAGTTATTCCAAGGATATATTGAACCTTCTGAGTTTTCAAAAAATAATTTCTAGATGGCTAGTTAATCTCAAAGTCAGAAGAGAAAAAAATGCACAGTTAAAAAACCCCATTAACTAATTGGATTGAAGCAACAGAAGACCTAAGATTTATTACTATCTCAATCCTTATGAATTTTAGGCAATTCTCTTTTAAAAAGAGAAGAAACCAACACAGAGCCTTTGAAAAATATTCTAGAATAAGAGAAAGACAATGTCATTCTAAAGACTTACTGTGGAGGCAAGCTTTCACATATCATTACTACAAGAACTTAAAAAAAAATAAAAATCATTTTCAAATTCAATAGCACATAAGATGATATTACCTCTAAGAAACAGAATTTTTAAATTAAGGAGAATGTAAATTGAAAATACAATAAGATTACACTAAATACAAAAATATTTCCAGATCAAATTTAGAATTACAGAATGTCCTTTTAATCCTGAGCTTCATATTAACTCTAGGTTCCTTAATAAAATGAACATAATCCCTATTTTTAAAAATTTCATAATGTATATGAAATACATATAACAGAATGCAATACATATCGGTTAATGTATGTGAGTGAGTGTGTGTACACACAGGATAAAGCAAATAAGTAATAGAGGATAGAATACTGCCTGATAGGATATTTTAGAATAAAACAATTAACATTCCTATATTACAAATATATACATATGCAAATGTACATGTATATAGTATAGATATATACCCATACACACACCCGAAAAAAGCTCAAAATAACAATGCCAATCTCATTGCTATAAAAAAATTACTGTAAGCAAATGATTACTACGAAGCAGTTTAATATATCTTTGCGGATTTTTTCTTTGTTTTTAGTTTATATCTTACTAATGACAGTCAGTGAATGTTTTACAGTTACTTGAAATAATTCTTGTCCATGAGGTTGAATCATTAAATTAATACAAATTTATCTGCATCGTTTAAATCTTGATTTCAGGTTTTAGAGATTATATATTGTATTTTGCTTTAATTTTAATTATGGAAAACATTTACATGGTTTCACAAAATTTTGCTATATTTAGAAAATTCTAGTTTCTATACCAGTCCCCTCTACCCTTCTGCCCTGTCCCTTCCTTCCCCCATTGAAACCTCATTTTTTATTCTTCATATACATATGGTTTATCCTTCATATACATAGATAAATGAAGTATATATACACACACACACATGCACATACACACATACATATAAACACACATGTATATACATATACATACATAACATGCATACATACATGTATAAACACATATACACATATTACACATACATATACATACATATATTCATATTTTTCCATTCATATTGTGTCATTTTTTCCTTAAACACTAGGATACTGTGCACGATGTTCCCTACTTTGTTAATTTTTAGCTCAGTGATAGATACTGTACACAATCTTCCCTACTTTGTTAATTTTTAGCTTAGTGATATGTCCTAGAGATAATTATTTTTTTCATAACTGCACAATACCTAGAACATGGACAAGCATATAGACAAGCATATATACATGGACAAGCATACAGACAAAAAGTGTTTCATGGTTTACTAAATCAGTCCCCTTCTTATGGGTTGTAAGATATTCCCAGGCTTTTGCTAATACAGTGTTGTAATGAACAGCCCTGAGATTATGTCTTTTTACATTTTCAGAGCATTACAGAGTCTTAATCAAAACAACAAAGAATCCATCCAACACATCATTTTTATAGACTGCAAATGCTCAGAATATATAGAACCCACATTTCATTCTTTTCTAATAAATGTATTAAACGATGCAAACTGAGAGAAGTACCAACACTAAGAATCCAAGAATTGTAAAAGTGTGATATAGGAGAACTGACCACTAAACCAGTTAAACATCGAGGTGAATATAAAGAGTTACTAATATATGTATACAACACTAAAAGTAAAAGTCAAAACTGTTTCTTGAAAGACACTATATGGAATCTAAAAATCATAACTCAGTAATAATAACCTGGTTATAAAACCCTTCAGTTACATTTTCAAAGACTGTAAAATAGTGAGGGAGAAGGAAAAAGAAATTCATTATATTCTATTTTATACTCAGAGGCAGTAAAAAACATACAGTTTCATTGTTAACCTTGATAAAAGAAATATAGGTTAGCCTTTTCAAACATATTTTTCAAAGATAATCAAAGAATCTATGCCTTCAAAGACTAAAAGTTATCCCTTTTCAAAAATATTTTTCAAAGATAATCAAAGAATCTATGGCTTTAATGACTAAAAGTTATCTATACTTTCCAAATCAATGGAGAAAACAAAATTAAAAACAATTCATTAAAACATGCAGTATAAGAAATCATAAAAACAACAAAGCTCAAAATAAGATGATAAAAATGTTTCTAAGTACATCAGTTACAACAATGCATGTAAATCAGTCAAATTATCTTGTTAAAGCTTCTCAGACTGGGCTACATGTAATGCAGTGTCATATCGCTTATGAAACTGCCTGCAGGGAATGCAGGGCAGACTTTGTGGTCAGACAGACCTGGCTTAAAACCCCAGCTCCATCATTATTAATTACTTGATCCTGTGCACATCATATTTATGCTTTGGGTCTCACTTCTTTTATCCATAATACTGGAACTAATAATATTTACCTCTGAATGTTTTTGTAAGGATTAGAAAGAACGTATGTTACATGCATTTCCTAGGGCAGACAAAGATCTGTCTTTTATTAAAGGCTTACTATTAGAACATTAAAGTAAGTAAGTAGCATTGATACACTAGTATACCAATGAGCTAAAAATAAATGGACAAGCATATAGACAAAAAAGTAAGACAGTATCAACTGTAGAACACAAGGCAAACATATTTATCACTGTATACTGACAAAGGGCAAAATTTTCAATTAAACTGTAACAAGCATGCCCTTTTATGCCCCAGATAACATACTATCAAAATAGTCAACAAAAAACACATTAGGATACAAAGGTGAAATAACAAATAATACTATGAGATACTAACAAGCCACTTTCCATAACTGAGAAATGAAGGCACACAAATTTGAATTATATAAGTAATAGTGGCAACTTAATTGATATAACCCAAATCAAAGTTCATAACCCTTGATGGTACATAAAACCTTTGCAAGAAAAAAATGTAATAAAATTCCTAAAGAGAAGAAAAAAAATTTGACAGTATTTTTTGTGTTACAGCATAGTCTGGAAATCACACCTTCTATCCAGTGAAGTACCACTGGGCATTATCATCATATTAATCTAACTCTAATAAACTCAAAAAGAGAAGATACATTATACATAGCACCACTTAAAAATAGTAATTCAGGTTTATTCTATACCTATCTTATGTAATCGCATATTATGAATCACATATTTCTTTTTTTAAGGTGCAGATAAAAACAAAATTTTTATCATACGCTTCAAATGCAGCATAATTATATTATAGAAATAACGCATGTTTAGTGTTCTACATTGGGTGGTAAACAATTACAAATTGGTACCAGGATAAAGTAAAAATTTCTTACTAAACCCTAACTGAGGTCAAAGCAATATAATCCCTCTTGCTTTTATTTCTGAGATTCACAGCATGGTGAATGACGACACCAATACCTTACCGAGGCTGTATATGTTTTTAAATTCTTCAAGCAATGGAATGTTGATATTTATTGGGTCATCATAATTTTCCTTTTATGACTATGTTACAACCATTTCAAATGCATTTCATTCAAATGCATTCATCAAAGACAATGCTCTGAAAAACTCAACCAATTTAACATTAGTATTCCGGCTCAAAACCTAAAGTTTTAAAGTAGTGGTAGCAAAATGAACAACTCAAATAAAACTTTTTTGAGTTCTTGATGCAAATCCAACTAATTACAAAACCGCTGATAGCTTTCAGGCTTAAAGTAACAGGAGGCTGTAAAATATTGGCACTTTGAGAAATCAGTCTTAGCTTTTCAAACAAATATTTTTCTGGAAACTATATAGAAAAATCTTCCCGAAATTTATTGTCTTTCCCGTTGTACTAGAAAGATACAAAACAAAACACGTGAGGTTTTTGCACAGACTTCATAATTTAATTGGAATTTATGTATGTAACATAAATACCTTTCAAACATTCACCAACTGTAAGGCAATTATCTGTTCTCAACATCTACCCTCAGAAGCAGTTGATACGATAGTCCACATTTCAAGGTCTCTGGTACAGAAGGAGCTCTGTCCTCTGCCCACACTCTCTCCTGATCTATGGCTTTAAATTCCAGCTATATTCCAATAACTCTCAAACACATATGCCTAGATGAGACCTATCCTCTGTGATCCAGGTTCCTGTATACACTTGCCTTCTTCATGTCTTTAACTAGATACCTGAATCAGGATCTTGAAATTGATATGTCCCATATGGAATACACATTCTTTCTCCAAAAACCATGTCATCCATCTCTTCCCTGGAATCCTTCCCATCTCAGTAAATGGTACCACCATTCAGCTATTTGTTTCAGCTAAAATTCTAGGAGACGCCCTTGATTCCTCTCTCTGAGAGTTTACACCTTACCTACTGATAAGTCCTACTGGGTCTATATTCAAAACATATTGCAAATGCAACCACTGCTTACTTTCTCCCATGCTATAGCCATAATCTCGTCTCTAAACCAAGTGCAATAGCCTCATAACTGGCCTCCTTGCATCCACTCTTGTTGACTACAATCTGTCCTCCAAAACAACAGTCAGAGATGTTCTTTCTGAAAGATCAGATTATATAATGTCGACTCTGTTTTAAGATCCACTACCAGCTTCCCATCACTCATGGGATAATATCCCAAACTCCGTACCATGGCTAACAAGGTCTAACTCCTGACTTTTCTAACCTCATTTTCCTCCTCTGTTCTGTTTCCTCACAATGTTCTAGATACTGTGGCCAAGCTTGTTCCCAAACTGACACCCTTGCCAGTGCTGATCCTTCTACCTGCAATGTAACCCCCACCCCAAATATGCCTGAGACAACCTCCTTATCATCATCCATATTTCAATGAGCACCTTCTCAGAAAGGTCTTCCTTCTCCTGGGCTGAAACTGCCCCCAGCAAGTATCACGTTGCTTTCTTTTTATCTTCTACCCAATACTAGTACCAACTGATGTTATGTTGTTATACTATATTATATTACGTGGTATTTGATTTTAATTTTTGTTGGTATATTTATTGTATGCCTTCCACCATGGGAAGGGCTCTCTCATCACCCAGAGAGCAAGAACTCTCTCATTCTCCACCACAGTTGGATGGGTACCATTGTTCTAGTACCTAGAGCAGTATCTGGCCCGTGGCCAACTTTTAATAAATGTGCCTTATTGTGGTGGCTACAGCAAAAGAACAAAACTATCTTTTTTCAAATAATAAGAACACACATAAAATAAAACTGAGGTGAATTAGAGGATATTTCCTTAAACTAGGAAGCATTGGATTTATGAAATCTATAAACTATCTCCATGATTGCATTTAAAGGAAGCTGCTTAATGTTCCATGGAATATATATGTCTTCAAGACAAATGGGAAATATCTAATTTATATATATATATATATATATATATACACATACACACACACACACACATATATATATACACACACACATATATATAACCCAATCTATCCCAACAGTTTTCAAGAATATTTGAGAATTCTGCAAGTCAGAGCTTGTCTGTATAATGAAACACATATAGCAAAGAAATTTAATTTTGAAATCAAATAACAAAAAGTTTCTACATATATGTGTGTGTGCATATACAGATACTTTTAATAATTTTAACAATTGCTAATAATTGTATTTCACATCAAGACTTTCAGTAGGTCAACTTGAAACTCATGCCTTCTTCTCCTTGTTCTGAAAGAAGCACAGGTTCCGGCACTAAGAGAACTTGAAGAAGGCAATTTGGTTCGTTTGTGAGGCTATTGAACTAAGTGATGACTCCGCTGCTGCACTCCCCCGACTCATCCTAGGTCCAACAGGAAGGGAGGCCATGGCCATCTGAGGAGTTATTTGGTTGGTGCAAAAGTAATTGTGGTTTTTGCCATTAATACTAGAATTCCTTCTCAGGTTCTCAGGTAGGCACATCGCTTTGCCTCTCTATTCTTCAGAGGAGCCAATCAAGTGAATGTATACAGAGAATTGCTTGGGGGGAGTGCATCCCAATAGTTTGTTTTGCTTTGACCAAAAAGGCACTGAAAAAACAGTATGTGGCTGAAGTAACATTAATACGGGCCCCATGCCATTTAGCCACTATAAAGGAACCCTCCTCTGCCTGTTGAGTTAGCTGTTGAGATGCTGGTCAAATCTCCATGTATCATATATCCCACGGTAGCATAATTGTGAGCAACTGTATCTGCCACCCCCACTACACTGGCAGCTTGTCGGAGAAAAGGAAAATGTCTCTTCCTCCCAACCACTGAGCTCCCACTACGCTACCTGTCTACCCAGCACCTCCATCTTCTTCCATCTAGGGCTTTCAACCATGTTGCTCTTGTTTTTCATGATTTAATTTACCTCCACCACTAGAATGACATGATTTTCACAGAAACGTTTAATAATCTCTTCAATTCCTTCCCAGTCATTAAACAGGCAAATAGAAAGCTAAGCATATTATCATGGAATTACATGAAATGATACATCCTAAGTCAAATGAGCAGGTCACAAAGGGGAATGCCTCACCTGTTCCCTGCTGTGTGAAGGCATGTGGGTGCCCATGTATGTATGTATGGAGAACACAATGCAGAATGGACACCAACGCATTAACAGGAGAGTCTGAATTGGGTTTTGCTCTCTTTCTGATATGCTTCGATACCATGAAGCCTCTCACTATGAAAATACCACCATGTTCAAACCAAAACTAGGAAAGCCATTTTTTAAAACTGTGTGAAAACCTCTAAATCATCTTCCCTTTTTCTATTTCTTTTATTATGGTAAAATACAAATAACTTAAAATTTAATATCTTCACCATTTTTCAGTGTACAGTTCAGTGGTATTAAGTACATTCAAATTGTTGTGTAACTATTACCACCAACCATCTCCAGAACTGTTCATCTTCCCAAACTGAAACGCTATGCTTATTAAACAAAAACTCCCGTTTTCTCCCTCTCCCTAACTCCTAACACCATCATTCCGCTTTCTATCTTTAGGCTTTTGACCACTGTAAGAACTTCAGAAAAGTGGACACATACTTGTTCTTTTGTGACTGTCTTCTTTATTTCCCTTAGCATAATGCCCTCAAGGTTCATCCATGTCGTGGCATGTGTCAGAATTCCCTTCCTGTTTAAGGCTGAAGGGTAGTCCACTGTATGGATTTACCACATTTTGCTTATCCTTTCACCTGTCAATGGACACCTGGGTTGCTTCCATGCTTTGGCTATTGTAAATAATACTGCTATGAACACGGGTATACAAGTATTTCTTTGAGATCCAGCTTTCGATTCTTTCGTGTACATATCCAGATGTGAAATTGCCGGATCATATGGTAACCCTATTTTTAGTTTTTTGAGGAACTGCCACGCTGCTTTCCACAGCAGTTGCATCATTTTACATTCCCACCAACAGTGCATCAGGTTTCCAATTCCTCTACATTCTTACCACCAATACTTACTTCTGGTTCTTATTAGTAGGCTTCCCAATAGGTGTCGGGTAGTATCTCACTAAAGTTTTTATTCGCATTTTCCTTATAATAAACCATATTCACTTTGGCTTCCATGGCATTTTTTTTCTTTCTGGCTGTGAAGATAAAAATTCTTCATGTCTCAACCAGCCAAAGCCACATTCCTATGGCTCCCACAATATTTTTTAGGCCTAGGCTTTCCTCCTGCCACCTATTATGTGAAAAGAAATAGAAGTGAAGCTAGTATTTAAATTGTGTTTTTAAAATATTTTTTTAAAGTATTTCTTCACTCACAGAGAAAACTCTCACAATTCTGGGAATCAATTGTCAAACATTTCTTAAAGAGAAAAGCACACGTAATCCCTAAAGAAAAACTACCCACTAATTTGACCGTCTGGAAGTGTAACAAAACACGTCTGAAGAATATGAGGTTCTTATCGCTACTCTGCAAAATGTCCTCATTATCAAGAAGTTTTAGGGAACTGAAGAAGCTATGAATCCAGGGCGGGCATCGATTTGCCTTTTATTCACTCCTCTCATTGAGTCTTAAAGAATTTTTCTTGGAATTCAAGTCAATTACTTTGATAACATCATTATTTTATTTATACTTGCACCATGTCTGACCTGAGTTATCAATGCCTGCTTACCATTCCATTCCTATAGAATGAATGGCAGGTAAGGGGTTTGGCATGAGCTGAAAACTTCCAGGAGCATTGTACTGGGATGGCTAACTGAAAGAGTACTCCAGTTGCCTGATGTACTGTTCACAAGATACTTTCAGATTCCACCATACCAGCCTCAGGTAAGGCATAAATAATGTACTTCTGCATATATATAATATAAGCTAAATCTTCCTGTCACCTGGTCATCAACTATTATTATCACTTTTAAGTAATACTGACAAAGTACATAAAATGGCATTTCAAAAGCAGTACTTTTTATAAGCTTGTAAGCGGAAATGGTTTACTTTAATAGTGTTCCAATTACAATAGGATTTCATCACACTGTCTGTGAATTAATCCATTTATCTCCAGAGCTCAGAATAACAGATATATGGTTACCATTAATGTCCTTCATTCCATCCTAAGAACAGTGATTCATAAATTCTTTTTGGATTTCAGGCCTCTTTAGAAATCTAAACAAAACCATGGATCCTCTCCTCAGAAAATAAGCACAATTCAGATTTAGAAAACAGTTTCAGGGGTTTCTGCTCATGTCTCTTTGAAGTCCATATACATAGCCAGCCAATTCAGTATCAGAGTCCTTTGGGGTACCGGTTACAAAAGAAGATCATTCAGTAGGAGAAAGACATCTCCACTTTTTACAAAACGCCTGGTGATTCTAGTGAATACCAGTACTTGAGAGCCAGTGTCCTTGAAGTTGATAGACTCCAAGTAAAACATTCCTGATATAGACGGTAGGGCTACAAAGTAATAGGATCAGTGTTCAGCTCTCATTGGCAGTCAATATTATTAGAGTTATATCTACAAAGGGGATGGGGGAAGGAAATCCTTAAGCCAAAATATATTAATAAAGTATAGTAAGTCTTCACCTAATGTCATCAATAGGCTCTTGAAAACTGCAACTTTAAGCGAAACATACAGCAGGTCCTCAAGCAGCATTGTTTTCTTTAACAACTTTTCTTTATAACATTGATGAGAAAAAAAATGGTTTTACTATACATCATTTCACTTAAAGTCACAGTTTCCAAGAATCCATTGACAATGTTAAGTGAAGACTTACTGTATAAGAAAAATAAATGATATAATTTCATATACCTTCTCTACCAGCAACAATATGCTATACTACTGTAATCTAGCATTTAGAGTCAAGTGTTCTTACCTTGAAATGTTTATTGTATCAAAATTCAAGGGACGGAAATGTGAGCAGCAGAATATGAAGTAGTCTGCACACAGGTGAGTCATGATCACCATCTACACACAGGTGGACATACCCAGCTCCTTAAGCATTTGGCCAAGGCTTTGCACATCTTCCCTTCTCCAAGCATGGAGACTAATGCCTTGTGCATGGTAGATGTTCAACATATTACCTTCAGATTTCATTTTAATGAGTCTCTGCTGACAACTCTATGCCAAATCCAACTGTTTGCTTAATGATAACTGGACCTTATTGTAATGGTCTAATGTTTAGACCATTAGACCTATTTAGACCTATTAGACCCATAGGTCTAATGTAATAAACCTTACTGAGGTTTATTACAGTATTAAAATGAAATTTAATAGAGCTGAAAATTTGGCAAACTAAACTTGTTTCTCTCTTAATGCTGGAAGAACCCTGATCAATACACACCATGCCTGAACTCAGTCCCTTCTACAGCTAATGAACTTTAAAATGGCAAGAGGAGGTCAAGTCTATTTATCTGTTGTTTATTGCTAGAGCTGCTGATCAGGGGAGGAAACTATAGTTTATAGAGAGCGTGACAAGCAAGAAATGAGAGTGACTTTTAAATGAGTACTTAGGAACATTAGTTTCTCAACTTCAGAATTATGTGTACTACATACAAAAAATGATGATGATAATGGTGAAAAAACACATCTTAATCCACTCTAGTATGATTAGACATATACTAAGTTAATAGTTTGAAACATGGTAAAATGATCTTTGCAGGGATCACTGACCTCTTGAAGAATCAGATAAAACCCAAAAAGCACAAAATTCATACAAGATTTTCACATCTTGTCAAGGAGTTCTCTGATCCCTGCAAGGCCATCTGTGCCCACCATTTTGTTTCAATAGTATTTGATTAGTTTGTCCACCTACCTAGAGAATCATGAGGGCAATTTAGACAAGAGGAGAAAACACGACGGGTGAGGTCACACAGGCTTTGATCCTGCTGTATACTGTACAACGGAATGATCATGAGATCTGGACCCAAATGGTCCTGATGCGGGGCTCAACCTGTGGCTTTGTAACCTCAGAACAGTGAGGACTGCTATAAAGATCAAGTGAATGAATCATTATGGGTGGTACGGGTGGTCTTCAGTGAATGCATGCAGAGGTCATTGTTATTAAACGAATATATATTTTTTCCTGATTATCCAGGAGCCTAATGCTACTATTCTCTAGGTCAGATTTATGGTGTGAAACTTCTCAGATTACAATGAGAACTAGAACTTTACAAAAAAATGACTTTGGTATTTACGTTATTAAGACCTTTTGGATGAAATTCAAGAAAAACTTGACTTAGCTAATTCTATCCCAAAGTGAAAAGAAGAAGGTAATGTTTTTCTACATAAATAGAATAACATTTAACTTTAAATCTCTTCTCAAGAGAAAGTCAACATCATCCTTCCTGAAAACATAAATGTTTAAAAAGTAGCTAGAATACACATCATTAAATTGCATCCTAAACATTTATACAGCCAACCTACACAGACACATGCACACATGCTACACACACACAATCACACATACATACTACATACACACACATACTACATACACACACAAACACACACATACTATATTTTTTACAGCTATCTACCTGTGTATCTTTCCATCTGTATATGTGTACATGTATGAATCACTAAGTAATCTTGATTTATTTTTCATTTCCTAGACTCTACTTGGCAATAATTAACACTTTTATCTACCAATTAAAACCTGCCGCAAATTCACATCTTCCACAAATTAAAATACACTTCAAAAAGAACACACAATCTGGTGGGTGGAGGTCGTGGGCACTTTGCTCAGCGGGAGATTTAATTAAATTATTATTTTCTCACCACCTTTTACACACACACACACAAAACCCAAATTATATTCAACCCTAAAAAGATATTCTTTCTCCATATTATGTCAACAAAATGTAGAGTTACAAGATCAGCAGCAGGGATCACAGGATTTGGGGAGGTCAATGCCACCATTTCAAATCTTAGAGTCAATTCACAGTAGCTACTTAAGAGATGCAAAAGGCCTGGCAAGAGTATTTATTTCCTGCAAGAATCCTCTGCAAGCAAACTGTCCATTCAGCAGTTCTGCAGGCTACTGTTTCACCATGCGACAGGCCCACTTATTCATAAACAAATCATTAACATTCTTGACATAAATCCATAGTGGACCATTAATCCCAGCTATGATAATGTTTTCGTACATTTGCTCTGCCCATCATGAATAGGAGTGTTGTTTCGTAGAACCCATCCCTGACAAATAAGAGACAAATTATGCCCCGTGAGAAAACTTGGAGAATGAACGGCTTACACACCAATTACTGTCTCATTATCTGGCTGATGCAGAAATAGATCCTGTGTGCTTTGGGTGAAATGTAGATTTTTCTTACTCAGACCAAAAAATATAAGTATACACAAAATCACTTGCCAAGGTAATTTTTGTTGCTCGGATTCATCTGAAGCCACACTCTGGGAACATTCCTCATAAAAACAAATCAATAATTATTGCTTAAGGAAAAAACAAACAAAACCCTAGTATAAGTACAAAAAAAAAAAACCCCAAAGATCCTAGCAACTATCAAGACTAATGGTTAATTTTTATTTTTAGCTTTTCAATGTTCATTGAATATTGAAATATTCTGCCCAAGAGTTATCAGGAAAGGGATATGAATGACAGAGAAACAATAAACAATGTATAAGAAAGTAAGAAACTCATTTAAGTGAAATAGACTCTATGGCCTGACAAGACCCTTAAATTCAGTTTATAAATTCTCCCCACTGAACTTGAACAAGAAACCTCTTCATGATCAAAACACATTGGATAAGCACCCATACATAAGAAGGATTTGCTGTATGTTTTTATGTTCTAAGCTAAACAGACCCAATTCTAGCTCTTTAACCGTGACATCATAAGTTAAATAAATATACTAACAACTCCACGAAAGCGACCAACTCAAACATTTTATTTTATGTATTGGTACCCGTAGTTCTATCTACAAACCATCTGCTGGGCTGAAGCCAAGGCTCATGCTCTGTCAACCAGCACTTCATATATTTGCATTGGCAGGGACAACACCAAGAGCCTATTTATTTCTCTGTAAGGTATCTGTCTTCCAACAGCTGTTGGGTAGAACAATGCTTCTCAAACTTTATGTGTATAGGAATCACCGAGGGATTTTGTTAGAATGCAGATTCTGGGTCAGTAGGTCTGGGGTGACGCTTAATAGCTTACATTTCTATCAGGCTCCCAGGTGATGCAAATTCTGCTCTCCTGGGACTACACTTTGATAAGCAAGGTGGGAGATGACTAAGTTTTGATTATGGCTTCGTAGACCAATAGCTTGGGTCTCTATAAGCATAAAATGGAAGCCTCCTCTTCTGTTCAATTTTGCTTTCCCTACTACTAATATAATTATTAATTTCATCAATAAGGATAAAATTTGAAGTCAAGTTTTACACAAGTCTTCATTTAGAGTAAGAACGAGAATGCAAAAATCTAGACAAATACTTGCATAACATTGGTGTAGGGGCAAAGCACCCTACTAAGGACCTGGATTTCAATCTTATTCTACCCTTCCATAAAATAAAACCATGAGGCCATAAGTATGGGACTGAACCTCTCTTAGCCTCAGTACCTTGATCTGTAAAATGGGAACTGAAAATACTCACCACACAGTATTAGCACAGGATGAAATAAAACATGCAAAAAGCACCTTAGCACAACAGGCCCTCAACAAATATGAGTTTCTTCTCTTGCTTTCTTTGTTATCCAACATTAGTAGCATGGGTTGGATCTAGTAGGACGACCTCAATCTGAGGTAAAAGAGCCAGCTGGGTTTGAATCGTTGCTCTGCTCCTTCTTACCTATTTATCTGTAGGCAGTCACTCAGCTGGCGGTTCTCAGATGCAGACGGTCAGACCCATACCAAGTTGTCTGTGTAATGATCACTTGACAAAAATTCAGATTCTTCTGCCTGCCACCCTGTAATTCTCACACAACAGGCTTGAGATTTCAGTTTAGAATCCGTGTTTTCAAATGCCTCCCTAGCAAGGATTGAAACCACTGCCTTCACCTTTAGAACCTCAGATGCCTTGAGCACAGTGATGCCCATGACAACAGTGATGCCCAACCACTTACTGCAATGGGGCTCTGACAACACGGCTCGGTAAATGGAAAAAGGCTAACACTGTGTTGCCATTGAGACCCCTACACACAGGATGAGAGGATTAACTCAGTGACAGCCCTTAGCTGGAGACACTGCTTTCCCTGAATTTATCCTCCATTTTACAACTCAAGCAATAACTGGATCCAAAGCAACTGCAAGCTCCAGTTCCTGATTTGTTTTTCTCTTTTAATCACCACAAATAATCAGTTTGCTTTTCCCAGGCCTCTGGGTTGTAAAGGAGATGGCTTCATTGACTCTTCCTACCAGGTCAATGAATGAGTCCATTTCTGGTTGCCTCCAGATCCTAGCTTTCTCTGATACTTCGTTGCAAAATAGAAGAGCAAGTGCCCAGTCACTACCTGGAAACTCAGTGCATAGCTAGTGCAGTAACTTCATCAATCACTATGAACAGCCTTCTCAATCAGAAGGGAAACATTTTTTTCTTAGATCACCACTTTATCTTGCATCTTTTACCACTTCCCATCTGGTTTACCTTGGATATGTATAGAATCCAAGTAACAATTGTCTCAAAAAGAAACATATATCCCTGCCCTTTGGTTTTAGAGGATAAAGATCCCATTTGCAATTATAAATTTTAGATCAAACAGAATAGGGATTATGAAACATATTCATGCAAAAGGCAGCCACATTTTTATGCAGAGATCTAGGAGCTTTTCTCAAAAGCATAGAAGGCATTCCCTTCACTGTTTCCTTTATTCTCCTCTTTCCTTTCTGCCCTCCCTCCCTGCCTTCCTCTTTGTCTTCTTTCCTTCCAGTAGCATTTGTAATTCTATAAACTCATTGAAATATTTCTTAACGAACAAAACTATTATTTATTCATCCTCAGTTTCAAAGCAACATGTGTCCCTTAACTCCTGTGGTATAATGAGAGAGGGACGGAGGAGGCAGGAGGAGAAAGGGGAAGAGGGAGAGGGACAGGAAAAGGGAGAGAAAGGGTATTATCAGTGCTCTGGTTTCCAATCCTGGAGTCTCACAGTTAATGAAAATTAGAGAGGAGCCCTGGTGTAAGATGATAAATGGCAAATGATACTTGGCTTTCATGGCTGGAGAGTAAGAGTGGGGGGTGACAGGAAGTGGCCAGAACTGTGGCAAACAAAAGAAGTGCATGCTCCCTTTGAAGGTAGAGTTGCTGTTCAATTCTAGGCTAGAGTGGCAAATAAAAAAGGGGGATTAACACTGTCAGACTGTCAAAGGTTTCAAAAAAGGCCACACCTGAGAGGGCCACATCTTATGCAAAATGTCCTGATCTTTTGGGGCTTGCTACAGTTTTAAAATTCTATAAGCACTGTGCTGGCCAAAGGAACTATACCAGCAAGGCAAATGTGGGTTGTGGGTCAACCACTTGCAAACCCTCACCTACATAGTTTCTGTGGCTGGGATGCTGGCTGGTCACCAGAGTCTGCTTCTCTTTTTTGTGGGCACTCATCTGGGCCACAATTTCTCCACCTACTTTGTAATTAGGTATGAAATGATGACTGAGTTCTAGCCAATGGAATGTGAGCAGAAAGAACATCTGCCTCTTATCAGCAAAATCTTTAAGGAAGTAGCTGTGCCTCCTCATGCTATCTTTCCACTTGTGCCAACTAGGTGCAGTCAATGAGGCCACAGGGGCAGTGGAACCACAGTGGGGAAGAAGCCTGGATCCCTGAATCACCACATGGAAGACAGCCACCGAATTGTCCAGGAACACAACTTTGAATTAGGACTTGGAAATTAAACATTGATCATGTTTTGTCCATTTCATATATTACATCCTATTAATTACTGCAACCTAGCCTGGAATCCTCTGGCTTTGAAAAATAGTGATCCTTCATCATCCTTGAGATGCCCTTACTTCAAATGTAAGTGGAATGCTATTCTTTTTTCTCTCCTAGATAAGTTTATTTTTAATGCTAAGTATAATAGTCCCTCCATGCCTACTCAGGTTCATTTTTATTTGTCAATTGCTTAAGGGCAGAAATTCTGATCTTCCAGAGCATTCAAAATTCAAGCACTTAGGATCACATTGATAGCAGGCTACCATGATAGCTCTATCAAGGAAAGGTTATTACCAAGGAAAATGAACATACATGTTGAAAATCTTCACCATAATCACTTTTTTTCAAACCACAAAATATCTCCCAAGAGCAAGGTCATTACTTTTTATAAAGCCCGCTTCCCTAAATTTTTGTTTATTAACCTTTCTTTCTCTTGACATGACCTCTGAGATGGTTTAGTATCAGACAGCGACTACTTGAACTTAAAAAAAAAAAAAAAAGTAAAATATGTAAAGGAGGGGGAGGATCCATTCCAAACAGGAAGCAAGGAGGTGACACAAAAACCTAGAAGGCAAGGCCGGGCATGGCGGCTCGCGCCTGTAATCCCAGCACTTTGGGAGGCCGAGGCAGGTGGATCACGAGGTCAGGAGATCGAGACCATCGTGGCTAACACAGTGAAACCCCGTCTCTATTAAAAATACAAAAGAATTAGCTGGGCATGGTGGCAGGCACCTGTAGTCCCAGCTACTGGGGAGAGTGAGGCAGGCAGCAGAATGGCCTGAACCGGGGAGGCGGAGCTTGCAGTGAGCTGAGATCGTGCCACTGCACTCCAGCCTGGGAGACAAAGCTCCCAGGCTGGAGTTTTGTCTCAAAAAAAAAAAAAAAAAAAAAAAAAAAAACAACCTAGAAGGAAAAAGTCAGAAGACTTCAAGTCACTTTTCTCAGCATCTTTTGCTACACAAGTAAAGATAAAATTCAAAGAATGTAGCTTTTTGTCTTATAAATTCTTTACGTGCAGATATTTTATTGAGAACATAGGAAAATGAGTGAATGTGATGTGCCAATATGGTGCTAGAAGCCAGCAGTGAACTTTGGCAGTTCAGGAAAAAAGCTCCATCCTTCCAGGCAAGCTCTGGTATCTGCCAGCAGCAGCGGTCCCCTCCAGGGGAGACACCTAAAAGCTTAGGGAAAGCTTGGTGAAAGCTTGGCAAAAACAGTCAAGGACGGTTAATCACTTTTTCCATTTATTTTGAGCCAATAGGATTTAATTAAGTATACTTTAATTAAAATTTAATCAAGCTTTCTGTGGCTGCAGACAGTCAGTGCTAAAAACTGCATCGACTACTAGTTTCTAAAGCCCCTTTCCAAATAAAGCTGCCTTACAACGAAGAAATATTTACTGTGGCAATGTTGTATTCTGTCCCCAAAAGTGAGAAAAGGAGAGCAACTTGGGGACAGTGAAATGATGATATATAAAAGAGATTATACAAAGAAATGTGTAAACAAATAGGAGAGGCTGGTTTAGGGGAATTAAGTTGAGCACAAATCAGAGTGGAGCAAAGGAGCATTTACTTGATTCAAAATTACAGTTAACACCTATTTTGTGCAGGTTGCTGAGAAATGGGGCGTCCCACATGATCTAATATGCCTATATCCCTTCTGTCCTTCACTTACTTGTTCATTCAGCACTTTGAACGGTAACTGTTCTGGGGACAGTAGTCTAAATGCAAAGCTGATCTCTCCCAATGCCAAGTCTTAAATTGACAGTGATGAATGAAAAATCTTTATTTGCATGCTTGTGGTTTTCTTAAACAGACTACACGAGTAAAATTTAGCTGTTTATTGGTCATATTTTTTACCCATTTGAACATAAATTTTGTTACTGGGCTAAAATGGAGAAATGCTCTCCAGGATATTGAGAAATGTATATACTCTGCCATTAGCCAAAAAAGCACCACATTCTCTTTTTAATGTACATGTGTGAGCTCTCTATCTCTTCTACAGAATGTGATGCATGGGCTTTGTGGCAGCTGTCTGAGTTCCAGAGGACTTTCCTTCCCACTATTGCCAGACTCTGGCTGTGTTCTGGATAAATGAGGTTGTCAGAAAAGAAAGTTTCTGGGAAAGAAAGCATCACAACACAGCTATACACATCCCTTCCAACAGTAGCCTGCAGTGAAATGTTTGGGACAATATATTCGCAAATTCCAATTAATCAGAATTTTAAGAAAATTGTATGTACTAGACTGAATTTCTTACTCATCTTAAGGCTGGACACAACTCTGAAAGTAATTGCATCTTTCTCCAGTAAATCAGAATCTTAGTTGATCTCAAAGTCATTCTTCTAAAATCAGTTTTAACTTTACAGTTGCACAAAGACAGGTGGTATCAAACTGGTTGAATGTATAACAATTCCAGACCTACTCAGTTTGTTTGTAAAGTTAGGTCTTTATTATGGTCTCTTTTTCTCTGAATTTGCATTTTTGGAGGGAGGGGATAGGACAAAGAGAAAACACCTGTTTGAGGATTCTGCTTATTTTTTCCTAAGTCATGTTTAAAATACAATTTTCCTCAACGCCCTTGAATCAGGCATCTAAAAGTTTCTTCTGGAGAAATTTATAATTCCCTTTCAAAGAACAACTTTTTGAAGTTCACCAAGAGTAAGTAGAAATTCATCACAGAGAGATGTTACAGCTGCCACGTGCTGCACACTGTCTTTATTTTTCCCTATTCTGTCAAAGGAAACACAACCCAGGTTCCCATACAGCAGGAACAGGAAATTCCCATGAGAATGACACTAAGAAATGAAGGCAAGTGTGAAGTAGGACTCTGTGTTCTATCTAGAGCTGAAAGGGCAGCTGGATTTGGAGAAGTGTCCTCTCTGATGTCCTATTTTAGATTGTTATTTCCATGTTAAGGTATCCCTCTACAAATGCTCATAGGAGTAGGGCACAAAGATATAACAAAAGGTTTCTTTGACAAAGACTGGGCCTTGTGCTTATCCCTGCTATCTGAAGGTTTAGAATGCGGTTGGGAGGTGCACAGATACTCCCATTAGGTAATAATAGGTAGTTAATAATTAAGTAATATTGTCCCCATTTCACATGTGAGAAAATTGAGGATTCGTTACTGAACTCAAAGCACAGCAAGGCAGGTAGAAGAGACAAAATCAGAAGGCAGGAGCTCCCACCCCCAGATTCCAGCCATTCTCCTGTCCCACACGTCCCGGCTGACCCACCTGAAGTGCACCCTCTCACCCCATCCCCATCCCGTGACCCCAAGCTAGTTCCTCAAACTTACTCTCAAATTGAACCCCTTTTGTAACCAACAAAAATTAATGATGCTAGAGGAAGGGGTTAAAAAATATACTCTGTGATTCATGAAATAAAACAAAGTTAACCAAGGAGACCAGAGGTAGCGAGAAAAATGGAGGAGTTGAGGAACAGGTCAGGCCTGGACTTCAATCCAGGCTCTGTGACTTACTACCTTAAAGCTTCAGGTGGGGAAATTAAACCCTCTAAGCCTCCATTTGTCACTGGCAAAATGCCCAGCTTCCAAGATAATTCATGAGAATTAAGTTAGATAAACAGGCAGAGCATAGGGCCCAGCACACAGAGGACAGCCCACCCCCTTGCCCTCCACATCCAATGCACCATCCAACCATAACCCTCATTCAACCGCACCAGGCTCTCCAGCCATTTTGAGTGTCATTTCTTTCAAGGATGCATCTGTCTACATCACTCATCTGCATCCAAGGTTGGCTTTTTCCAATTAGGAAAATTAAATTCAGAGTATATGAGTCAAATACAAAGGCAAAACCTAGACTTCAGAAAGCTAGAACAAGCATTGATTCGGGGAAGGGTAGTTTCCATATTCTAAACTCTAGGGTTCCTTGCAAGAATAGCAAATTGCTCACAATTCTTCCAAGCAGTTTCTCAGTCAATAACATGTTGACCAAAACAGTCCATTTTATGATCAGTCCCTTTCCCAAAATTCTTTAAGTCATATATCCCTGTGCCTCTCAAAGGTAAACATTATATCTTCCTTCTATTCTCAGTCTTCAGCACAATAGATATGTGACATTGACTTGGTACAGATGTATATAATTTCTGTCAATGAGAAAAGAACCCACAAATCATACAATATGTTGTCTTCATTTAAGCTACCCAAGGACCCTTGATTAAAAACACATGAAGCAGTAAATTCACAATCAAATACCACAAACAACTCTACATAATCTTTAACTATGTAGAATTTAATTCAGAGTGCATCAGAAATACAAATATTACATCATTACACTTTGAACATGAAGAAGACCTTCCCTGTTATCCCATTCAGCTCTCTTTAATTACAGTTAAGGAAACCGAAACATGGAGCAGAGGTGGGCATGTCTATAAACAAACATAAATGAAAGGATGACAACATCTGATATAATCAGGACTGTGTTCCAGATTCCCTTCTAAGTAGTGTTTGTTAGGTAGCATAACTTTTCATTCATACCATTTTGTGTGGTTAACATCAGTAGTCCTGTTTTACAGTGTGGAACAGAGGCTGAGAAAGTAGCTTGCCCAACAGCATAACTCTAGCAAGTGGTAGAGCAAAGATCTAAACTCAAGTCATCTTACTTGGGGGTATTTTCCTAACCACTGCTCTTGACCGAGAGCCTGGAGCAGAGGATCCCCCATCCGGAGCAAGCATGGTATTCTTCCACCCTGCCCTTCCCTGCTGCTGAGGGTCCAGTGAGCTGTCAAGGCAAGTCAGCCAAAATATACTCACTTCTTAAGAAGTAGATCCTGAGGATATTGAAGGCTTCATCAATTAAAAACAAATCTACAAGTATTTGGATTTGAAAAAACAGGATTCTAGAATCAGATATGAGGGAAGATTAGGACATTATTAGAGAATGATTGAGAAAGAATCGAGCACTGTTTTATTAGTTAGTTTTCTTTTCACTAACTATCTACCTGTTCACTGTAAAAAATAAAATTAAAGTGATATAGAAGAACATATAATGAAATACAAAAGATTGATCTTTATGCCCTGAATATCAATGTGCCACCCCAGAGTCAACCACCATCAGTAGGGTTTTCTGTTGTTGATTTGTTTTATTTTGCTTTTGTTTTTGTTTTACATCTCACTGCAGAAATTTCAATGCATTTGTAAGCATAGGAAGACTCTTCTTTCATTTTTATATAGATACACACACACACACACACACACAAATATATATAAATGTGATCATACCATATGTACTATTTTACAGCTTACTTTCTATTTTTACTATATATCCAAAATTTTTCCCTAACAGCATATCCCCCCTTTCTCTCTCTCTCCTTTCCTTAGGCTCAATAGTGTTGTGATAAATCATGATACAATTTTACTAATCACATATGGATATTTAGAAAATTAACACTCCCACAAATAACAACAATGTGGGAAAGCACCTGTTATCCCTCATCCATCAGCATAGGCTTTATCCTACTTTTTAACTGCTACTTGCCTGATACGATAGTTGGGTCTGCAGCAGAGGGGAGTGGTGGGCAGGGGAACTCTAACTATTGTTATATTTTACAGTTTATTAACTGAATGAGGCTGAACACTTTTATGCATGTTTATTGAAAATCGGTACTTTCTGTGACTCTATTTGAGTCTTTTGCCCATTTTTCTACTGGATTGCTTGTCTTTTTCATATTGATTGTGAAAGCACATTGCATATTAAGAGAACACAACCTTTGTTAGTCAAATGTCTTGCAATACATTTTCTTGAATGTATCATTTATTCATTTATCTTTTGGTGCTGTTTAGGGTAGTTCTGCCTGAAAGTTTTAAATGCTTACTTAAAATACACTAGGTTGCAGCATGTTTCTTTATTCTCACAATTCCCCTTGACCATAAGCAGAGCAGTGACCAAGCAGGTGCACCTGGGCGTTCCTACACTCAACTGAGCACTCAAACTACCACCATGGGGAGTTCCCATGAAAAGGGTATGTATAGACAGGTGTAGGCTTGACTCCAAAAACAAACAGTGTTAGCATCTAATCGGGAATATGTTTTATCATAAGTTCAAATATGTACACAGATATGGCAGAGAAATGTTATGATAAAATCAGAATAAAGTAAATAAAAGAATTAAATTCTTACCCATGATCTCCAATTAATGTACTGGTGGTTTACCAACCAACCTGTTCAAATGTAATGCATAACACAGTAAACGATTTGTGTTGCCTTGTATTATGGTTTCCAACTAATGAAAAGATACTTTAAAAATATAATCAAAATCAAAATCAAAATCGTTTGTGAGACAGCAGAATCACCTCTGCAGAACGTGGTCTGGAAATCACTGAATACCAGGAGGAGTTCAGCAAAACCTCATATTTCCTGCAGAAGAGGATGTCCCCCTCAGTGACCCAAGCCTTCCTGGCTTGATAGCCAGACACTCGGCTTTAAGAAGAAGGGCTCTCGGAAGGTGAAGCTGTCAATACTTGGCCTTGTGATTCCACTGGCAGACTCCTAGGCAGCAGAAGAATGAACTACAAAGACAGCTTTTTAAAATAGCTAACAGCAACTATGATGCTTGCCACGTGGTCCCCCTCAACATGCCCGGGGGCACGTGCATCTACAGCTGTGGAGGAGAAGTGGACGCTCAGACTCATTGGAAGGTTTCTCCTCCCGATTCAGAGCTTGATACTGACAGTCTGCTTCTCACCTCCAACATCCAGCATCATTGTTTTGGGTGTTCTGATGGTTTTCCTTTCCAAAACAGTGGGATGAGAAAGCTGCATAGATAAGAACTCACAGGAAGAAGAATATACTACCACCATGATGACCAGCAGCTAAATGACCATGTCTCAGAGAAAAGAGCAGAAAAATGATGGAGATGCTACAAATTAGAGTTGGTAGATTAGGGTCTTAGGTTTTAACCTTTTAAAAACACATGTGAGTAATCCTCGAGTTATCAAGCTCTTAAAAAGTAAAAAAATAAAAAAAACTATACAGGTTTTTACAAAGTATTTCTTAAATATGCTTCTCATATGAGGAGGAAATAAACCAGAAATAAAACCCATAAACAAAACCAAGAACGTGGTATGCCACTTTCAAAAGAGAAAACTAATACAAAACAGTGACTGTCCCAGAGCTGCAAATGATGTTATTACTGTCACTGTCCTTTTAATTTTCAAAATTCTCTCCTGAAAAAGGCACTTTAGAACTCTCATTTTATATATACATATATTTTTTTAAAAAAAAGCAAAGGAGAAGGAAGATTTCTTAAATAAGCAGATAACTGTTTTTGTTTACTTAGAATTTTATTGGGGTATAATTTACACAGTGAAATGTACACATCTCAAGTACTTTTAAATAGATAAGTAGATAAAATCACTATACAACCATGGCCCAGAGGTCCACATTCAAGGCTGCTGGAATTGGCTACCAGTGTCCTTTACTTTCCATTAGCCTCCTTGCTGGAGCAGCCAACTGGGGACAGAGCCCATTTTTGTCCAGGATCTACAGGGAGCCCTGTCTGAGCTTTGGATGACTTCAGACGATTCTATCCAGAGCATAGAACACTCCATCAAAATGAAAGTGTGCACTTGGTAAGCTCCAAATTTAATTTATTTTATGCTGATGAGGTTTATGGGTCTTTTAAAATATGAAGCTCAGCTGCTTAGGATTTGCTTTGTTTACTTTGCTTTAATTAATGATAGTGCCTTTCTGGAGAGAAAACAGCATCAAGAAGAAATTCAGTCAGAAATTATTCATTCAAAGCCTCTCCTTTTCCCTGGCTGTGAAGTAAACAAGATTCATTAATCTCACTTGGGATCAGAAAATGGAGAGAGATGGAGGGTGAGAGAGGAGCAGGTGGCTCCACCTGTAGACAGGGAGGATGCTACAGAAAACATGAGACCCAGCTCAAACGCAGGGCTGGTTGGAGAAGGTCAGTGTATAATTGGTAATTTACAAAGAGGAGCCAGAATTACTAGTCCTATAAAGAAGGTCTCCAAAAGCTTCAAATAATACAGAGATACTCAATGTGAAATGAACAATCATTATTTCCCAAGTTCCTCATGGTAAAAAGTCACTTAAAGTCAATTCATTCTGATTTTGTAAGAATTTCCTATCACCACCAGACAATCTGCTTCTCATGGCATTCCAAGGTAGGTCTAAACATGGTCCTTAGTTCTACCCTTCTTGCTTAATCTTCTCCTCACGCACCCTCCAACTACCCCAAACCAGTCAATTTCTAACACATATTTCATTCCTCTGAGCCTTTCACTATACTGTGCTCTCCATCTATAATGACCTGTAAGATTCAGCCTAATGGTCACTTCTGATGGGAATCCTCCCCAAGCCTAACTCCAGACAACTGAGTGTTTCCTCGGCTGTGCAGCCCAAAATCTTTATACATATCTATCTCTGTAATAGTCCTTTACTTTCATTAACCGGTTATTATTTTTATCCTCCACTAAAGTACTAATTCTTTTTCAATGAACCAAAGAGGGCCTGTGAGAGTGACTGGAATATGGCAGCTGATTGAAATGATTCAACATGAACTAATACAAAAGTTCACAACATAAGTTTGTATAGATTCATGAATTTTTTATCACTTGAAATAACTTCTCTACAATTTTGTTTCCTGAGCAAAAAAAAAAAAAAAAAAAAAAAGCATGACAACAAAAGAAATATAGAAAAGAAATCACTGACAATCTTCACTTGTTTTACTTCTTTTTGTGCCCATTCAACCCCTGTCCATATACTGTCAAGTTGCACAAGTCGTAATCACAGAGTAACTCTTCCCGCACACGTTGCAGAAATCAATAATGGAACCAAGCTGAAGCTTTGCCAGCAACAGCACAAGGCAGGATAGAGGCCAAAACCAGGGTCAGCAATTACCTGGAGGATAGAAATGTCACCCAAAAGCAGGATGGTGCAGACAGGTCTCAGAGGACAGGTAAGCAAATAGGCAGGATGTCCAGCATTTGAGAGAAAGTGCATGAGCTCAGTCTGAAAGCAGATTCCATATACAGAGTCCAGGTTAGGAGCCCTGGGATTTAGGGAAGAAAGAAGGAGTGGACTGATGGACAAAGTCCAAAGACACAGGCCAGACTGCAGAGTGGGGAAGAAGGAGCTATGGTAACAAACAGAAGACAAGTAGCAGGGATGCAGGCAAACAAGCCCACACTCTGCCCAATTTATTGATTTACTCAACAGAAACCCTCTGTATGGATCTGCATAAAGACAGACTAATCTTGATCCATACTCCTTTCTTTGTAGACCCTCTTAAAGTCTTTCATCCTCAACTAAATTCTCACTTTCAAAGGTCAGGATATGCTAAATTGAAATCTTCTCCTGAAGCCAGTCTCTCAAGCCACCACACTAATACACATATATTAACCCTCAGCCCAAGCTTCAGTTGATGGTACAGAAAACACAATGTTCAAAAACTGGGCAAGACTCTACAAATTACCTAGTTCAGGCCCTTTTAATTAACTTATTTACTTACTTATTTATTCTTTACAGACAGGGTCACTGTATTAGTCCATTCTCACACTGCTAATAAAGATACACCCGAGACGCGAGACTGGGTATTTTGTAAAGGAAAGAGATTTAACTGACTCACAGTTCCACAGGGCTGAGGATGCCTCAGGAAACTTACAATCATGGCAAAAGGGGCAGCAAACATGTCCTTCTTCACATGGCAACAGCAAGGAGAAGTGCAGAGAGAAGTCCGGGGAAGCCCCTTATAAAACCATCAGATGTTGTGAGAACTATCACGAGAACAGCAGCAAGAAGGAAACCGCCCCCATGATTCAATCACCTCCCACTGGGTCCCTCCCACAAAATGTGGGGATTATGGGAACGACAGTTCAAGATGAGATTTGGGTGGGGACACAGCCAAACCATATCAGCCTCGCTTTGTTGCCCAGGCTGGAATGCAGTGGCACAATCATAGCTCATTGCAGCTTCAAACTCCTAGGCTCAAGTGATCCTCCCACCTCAGCCTCCCAAGTAGCTAGGAGGACTACAGGTGTACACCACCACACCTGGCTAATTTTTTTTTATTTTTCATAGAGACAGAGTCTCAATAAGTTCTACTGGCCTCAAATGATCCTCCCACCTGGACCTCTCAAAGCACTGGGTTTATAGGCATGAGCCACTGTGCCTGGCCAAGCCCCTTTTATTTTTATTTTTTTTTTGTCATTGTTGTAGATAAGGAAATAAAGAGCAAGGAAGACACTTGTCTAAGGTCATATGCTAGTAAATGGTTGAAGAGGGACTAAGAATAAAAATGTGGGAACACTGAGCTAAGCACTGTATATATGTGATCGACTGTAAATTCCATGACACCATTTGTCCTTTTGTTTTGGGGACTCTTTTTTTTTTTTGAATCAAGGCCTCATTCTGTCACTCAGGCTGGAGTGCAGTGTCACAGCTGCGGCTCACTGCAGTCTCGATCTCCCCAGCTAGAGTGATCCTCCCACCTTAGCCTCCCAAGTAGCTAGGACCACAGGTACACTCCACCATGCCCATCTAATTTCCTATTTTTTGTATAGACAGAGTCTTACTATGTTGCCCAGGCTCCCATGACACTTTAAACCTCATTTACAGAGAAAACTGAGGCATGGAAATGTTGGGTGACTTGTCTAGAACTAGCAAGTGGCAAGCAGCCAGGTGAGAGAGCCCCAGATGGAGGGGCATCCTTACTGCACAAACATTGCTTTTAATTTTCACAAAAGGACTGTACAACTGATGAGGAAAATGAGTCACAGAGACCCAGAAGTTGGCCCCAAGCCCACATGGGTTGGACGTCAGGACTCCAACGGCCCATGCTCTCCAGTGAACCAATAGGCAATGTGATTGGGAGCCTGTGCCAGGAAACTGAACCACGGGTAGGAACTCCAACACCCAGGGATGGCAGCAGGCAGGGCCCAGCCTGGCAAACAAGGAGGTGATTCTATGAGTTCAGTCGGCCCCCCTGCACAACCTGGGTCTTTTCTAGGATGGAGGGGCTATTAGCATTGAACTTCTGTAAACTCAGTGTTTGCCCGTATCAAATAGCACTCCACCTCCGCATTAATGCAAATTAATGTTGTTACAGGTTTTTATTCCCTTTGGAGTAAAATTAAAACTAAATAAATCAAACAGTAATTAGAAAACTCAATAAGAAAGCTATTTAGCTTAAAACTGACAATGTTTATACCAGTGCTTTATTCACTACAGTTTTATTGTGCTATTCTGTCTTGATATTTTAGTGAAAAAAAAAATTTAAAAAAAATTCAGCTTATTTTTGCCAAAATTTCACCAAATTGCTTTAACCCATAAATATTTTCAAAAACATTCCCAAACTGTCTGTCCCACTGAATTGGCCGATCAGTGTAGACTTGCCCCCTTGTATTGCTGTTTAACTGCATCACGTACATACATCTGGTATCCCCATCCAGCTTTAACCTCTTAGAGAACAGATATGTTAGCTTACATACTTTTGAGTAGGGTGGCCAACTTGTCTTGGTATGCCCAAGACTTTCCTAATTTGGGGAATGAAAGGTCCACATCCAGGGAATGCCCTTAGTATCAGGCATAGTGGGATAGTTGGTCACCCTATGTTTAAGCCTCTGAAAGTCCTGAGTACTTTAGAGCCATGTATCTACTGCATCACTTTCCTTTAGCTTCTCACTCCATGTTCCCTGGTTCCTTCCTCCACTTCTGTCCCCACTCCATGCTCCACTGTAACCTGCATGGTCCAAGATACAACAGGCTATCCAAAGCCACCTAAAGACTTTAGCCTTCTAAATCTGCAGCCCTCTTTGGCTCCACCCTCTTCTTGAGACCTTCTCTTCATTCCATCTGCACATCTACCTCAAACTACTCCTTCCCCAGCTGTTCATCAATGCCTCTTTCCATCTTTAAACCTTAGATTTCCCCCACGGTACTGCCCTCAGTCATCTTCTTTCCTCCTGATATTCAGTTTCCCTAGGCATCCCACACTCTCCCAATTTCATCTACGGCCACAGATAATCATGCTCAAGTTCCACCACCATTCCCTCTCTCCCAAGGAAAAGACCTATATTCCAACTGTCTCTTGGAAGAAACACAGGATGCCTCTTGATGACCTGACTCCCAGTAAACTCAACACGGAACCTGGCATGTTGCCTCCCTCCCCATTCCTCTTAACCACATCCATCCAAGCCAAAAGAGTGGCAGTCCTGCTTCCCTCCTTCCTTTCCCACATGTCCACATCTGAGCACTTGGCAAATGCCGGGGATCCCCCCTCTGACATTCCTGTCAAGCAACTCCACTCCTCTCCATCACCACATTGCCATTACTAGTTGAGGTTCTCACTTCCTGCCTAGACCATTACAAAGTCCTCCTAAGCACCCCTCTCCCACTCGGAAGCCTTCAGTGCTGTCAGAATTCCCCAAATATAAATTTACTTATAACATTTTCAATGGCTTTCCAATGTCTATAAGAACAAAGTTCAAACTCTTTAGGATGGCATCAAACAATTTTCCTTACTTACCTCTAACTTCTATTCAACCTGATCTTGGAACACTCCCCTTCATGCACCCAGAACTCCACTTACCCTGAATCACATGCCAGTGCCACAAAAAGCCCATGTGTTCGCGGGTCTACATGAGCCATAACCTCCCCATCCTGTTATGGTCACTATTGTTATTTTTATTTTTCCGTACTTACTCTTAATACCAATCTACATGTGGACATGTTTGCAATTAAAAGCATAGTATAAATATAATTTTTCTTCCCTTTTTCAATTAACATCATTAGTATTTCATACTACTATGTGGCTTTTATAATTACTTTGCTGGTTACACAGACTGTAAGAGTTAATTTTATGTGTCAACTTGACTGGACCACAGGGTGCCCAGATGTTTGGTTAAACATTGCTCATGTCTATGAGGGTGCTTCTAGATGAGACTAATATTAGAGTCAGTAAAATTGAGTGAAGCAGGTTGTCCTCCCCAGGGTACACAAGCCTCACCCAACCTGTTGAAGGCATGAATAGAATGCAAGGTTGAGTAGGAAAGAATTACTGTCTCCACCTGACTGTCTTTGAACCTTAGACATCAGTCTTCTCCTGACTTAAAACTAGGACTTCTAAGGAACCTACACCATCAGCTCTGCTGGGTCCGGATTTCTCAGCCTCCAAAATCACATAAGCCAATTCCTAATTTTAAAAAGTCTCTTCACACACAAACACACACACACACACACACACACACACACACACACATGTACCCTATTGGTTCTGTTTCTCTGGAGAACCCTAATACACAGAACCATAATTTACCAAATCACTTCCTGTTATGAGACCTTTAGGTGACTTCCAATTTTTACTATTATAAATACTATTGCAGTTAACTTTTTCCTACACATGGCTTTCGTTGTCTTTTTAATAATTGCCTCAGGACAAATTCCCAGGAGTGGGATGGCTGGGTCAAAGTATGTAGAAATTTTATGATTCCTTAAAATTGTGGCCAAATTGCTTTTCCAAAGTGGCTGTTCAAATTCCATTGCCACCATACCAAGGGCCTAGTAATTTCCCTAGTATTAGCCTAAAAAACAACCAAAAAGCCCCAAAATTATCCATTTGAAATATGCAAAATGCTATCTCATCATTATTTTAATCTGCATTTCTTTTATTATTAATAAGCTTAATTTTTCTCAAATGTGTTTACTAAGCATATTCTAATGTTTATTCATATCCTTTTGTCCATTTATCAACATGGTGTTTCTTATGCATTGGTTAAAACCTTTGTTACAAAGTTTAACCCTTTGACTGTCATATTCAATGCAAATATTTTCCCGGTGTCTTTTATTATTTGCTTTCAGCTACACTATTCACCTTATGGAAATCTAACAAGTCTATAAAACAAAGTGCTAATTTCTTCCTTCACTGTATTCTAACAGTCAGGATGGAAATTATTCTAAGAGCACAGGGTGGTTAGCGATGTGGAGTCTGGAGTCAGAACAGTGAAGGCTCCTACTGGGCTACAACACTGTCTGCCATGGGGCTCTAGACAGGATTCTGCACCTTGGTTTTCTCATCTGTGAAGCCAATAGTAACCTCCAGCTAAAGCTGTGGCAAGTGTTAGATGGACAAACACTCTCTATTTTTCTTTGATTTTAGATTCAGGGGATACCTATTCAGGTTTGTTACATGGCTATGTTGCATAATGCTGAGGTTTGGGTTTCTAGCGGACACATCGCCCAAATAGTGGACATAGTACCCAATCGGTACTTTTTCAACCCTTGATCCCCTTCCTCCCTCCTGGCTTTTGAAGACCCCAGTCTCTACTGTTTCCACCTTTATGTCCATATGTACCCATTATTTAGTTCCCATTTATAAGTGATAACATGTGGTATTTGATTTTCTGTTTCTGCATTAATTCACTTAGGATAATGGCTTCCAGCTGCATCCATGTTGCTACAAAGGACAGGATTTCATTCATTTGTATGGCTATGTAGTATTCCAAGGTCAGAATAGCTATTATTAAAAAGTCAAAAAATAACCAATGTTGGCGATGATGCAAAGAAAAGGGAATGTTTATACACTGTTGTTGGGAATGTAAATTAGTTCAGCCCCTGTGGAAAGCAGTTTGGAGATTCGTCAAAGAACTAAAACTAGAACTACCATTCAACCCAGCAATTCCATTATTGGGTATCTACCAGAAGAAAAGAAAACTCTTTCTGAGCCCCTACACTGCAACTGGTGTCCAGGAAACACAGACCAAACAATGTCGGCTGTTTCCTTCACATTATCTTTTGGGTGTCTCTCCATCTATTAAGCATTTACATTTAACTCTGTATCTGGAATTAATTCTGGTATTTGGTATATTATATAAATTTTTAATTAACTTTTTTAAGAAATTGCTACCCATTTATTCAAACATTTTCCTTCCTCTTATTTTTGAGTCATCTATTATTTATTCACTTCTTTTACAATGGACCGTCATTGTTGGTAGGCTTTTCAAAATGGACAAAATTAAAAATAGCGATCCATAAGGTAAAACAGATATTAGTACTCCACCAGAATATCTACATAAACATGGCTTTTGTTTTCCATTTGGTTTGGGGTTTTGGCTTAATTTAATTAAACTGTCCTGCTGCCAGCATTTTCTAATTAGCAATGTGGTATACTTGACTGACTGATGGATTCAGAATAAAAAAAAAAAAAAAACCTATATTCAAATGCCAGCCCTGAGATACTGTTTTGTAGCAAGTCATTTGGCCTGAACCTTTGCTGTTTTTCATCTGTAAGGTAAAGTTAACAATACCTAACCTTTTTAACTCCCAAAAACATTGTGAGATTCAAGTGAGATAATGTCTCTGAAATGTCAGGCAGGGGTATTCTTCCCATTACTATGACTATAATTGATACTATAAGGTTAGTTTCTATATTCCCTCTACTTCTGATAAATCTCCACATCCTTCTCATACCATAAAGGTAAGAGCTTGGACTGGGAGTCTGAGGACAGTTCAGGCTACTGACTTGATGATTAACCAGCAGCTAGATTCGAGGAAATTTGCATAACTTCCCTGAGCTTCAGTCTTCTCATTAGTAAAATGGAGATTGTAGTGGGAATGAAATTAGCTAATGTGTACGGAAGTATTTAGCAGCCTGTACCCACAGAGAAGCACCGGATAAATTACAGTAATGCATGGGTTATTCTCCTTGACCCTCAAGGGTCATTCTCCATCCTCTATGGATTGGATCCTTCACTTGCTCTCAGGCTTCTGAGAGGTGCCAGACAATAGGAGACATGGGAAAAACAAAGAAGCAACTGGAGAAAGACATAAGGGTGTTATTTATTCTCCCACCCCTACTCCAGGGCCAGGGTGTATTCACTTGGATGCTTCTCCTGCACCCAGGGACATAGCTCCTCTTTGGTGGCCTCTCTTCCAAAACCAAGGCTCTACTGAACCCTTTTCAGGATGAGTGGATTAGTCCCTTCCCATGCTGCTAATAAAGACATACATGGGACTGGGTAATTTATAAAGGAAAGAGGATTAATTGACTCACAGTTTAGCATGTCTGGGGAGGCCTCAGGAAACTTACAATCATGGTGGCAGGGGAAGCAAACAGGTCCTTCTTCGCATGGTGACAGCAAGGACAGGAATAAGAGCCAAGAGGGAAAAGTTCCCTATAAAACCATCAGATCTCGTGAGAACTAACTCACTATCATGAGAACAGCATGGAGGTAACCAGCCCCATGATTCTGTTATCTCCCACTGGGTCCATCCCAGAACACGTGGGGATCGTGGGGATTACGGGAACTACAGTTCAGGATGACATCTGGTTGGGGACATAGGCAAACTATGCCAATGAGAGACCATAAGAATGTCCCATTTATGCTGGCCTTCAGTGCTTCATTATCTCCTATTAATTCCCTTAATCCTAGCCACACATCTGTAAATAGTCTCCTCTTAAAGTCACTTCAGTTGATCTTTGAGTATGCCATCTGTTTCCAGCCAGGATGCTGATGCAAATCTTAGTTCTTGTTTTAATTGGTGAGCCAACCCTTCAGGGTTCATTGAGTAGTATGAGTCTGACACTTAGGCAGCAGTATCCACAACCCACCTAGATCTGTGGCCCAGTCCAAAAGTAAGCACTTCTCACACTTCCCAACTTTCCAGAATTGGTTTAACAGTTGCTTTTAAAGGTACAGAATTTCCCACTAGAGCATTTCATGGCTTTTGTTCTGAATATCACATAAAGCAAAAGATGTTGCTGAATCCAGCAGTAAAATGAACATTCTAACTGGAAGATAAATTGACTTGTTGATGTCATATCTCCTGACAAAACTTAGCACAGGATGACACCTCCCAAACCCATGGGACACCACCCAAGATGCTGGACTTCCAAGCTCCAGTGATGTTTCCTATTAGCACATTTGAGATCTGTACTATTCCAGCTTGGCCATGTTCATTCCATCAGAGCTTTGGCCAAAGAGCACTGCCAGAATGTTCACCAACACCCAAGTGTACGAGGAAATCAGAGCCTGGAAGGACTCGTGATACTGAAAGTTCCCTGATCTCCTCTGATATTTCTTTCTCATGAAACTTGCCAGAAATAAAATTAAATCCAAAATAAACTCACACATTTCAGAGATTGAACCATTTCATGACGGAAAAATGCATTTACAGTTTATACAACAGCAGACAGAAAGGAGGTAAACTGTTAGATGACCCCCTTTAAAAGTCATTTTGTTCTACTGCCACTGAAATAGTACTGTGAAAGAAAATGGGGTGTTTAGAATTTTTTTAAAAAATTCTGTAGTGTCAAACTTTCACAACTATAAAAGAGCAATCTCCATGCAAAATTTTCAAGAAGTCTGTGTTTAGGCAGAGAAATTGTTCTTCTGGTTGACTTTGTGAAGAAAAAACAAATAAACGCAAACTAAACACATATGCACAAGGAAATAACATTTTGATATTTTGATTTTTTAATGAAATAATCATAAAAGGACTTGACCTCCCAAATGTCAACCTTCCTCTCCTCGATAACTCAGATGATCAAACTTATATTGCCTAATATGATAGCCACTAGCCTTGCAACATATGACTACTTAAATTTAAATTTACTAAAGCTAAATTTTAAAATCTGCACTTCAGTCACAATAGGCACGTTTCAAGTGCTCATTAGTCACCTATGGCCAGTGGCCACTATATTGAACAGTGCGGATTATTGAACATTTTCATCATCACAGATAGTTCTAATGGACAGCATTGGGTCAAATTACTTATGTCTATGCATCTCAACTATTTCCAGTGACAGCAGATCAGTACCAGCTATCACAATTTACTGAAGTTACAGACCTTTCAGGGGTAGCAATTATCCATTCCCTTAACCTCAGCCTTCCTCTTCAGAGGCTGGAAATGCTCAAGAGGCTTGGTAAGCTTGCTACAGAACTCTGGCAAGCCCACCATCAAACAGGTGCAGATAGAATTCTACTGGGACCTCCTAGAGAAAGTTTTATTTCCCTCATAAGGGTACTGCACCTTGCTCTTTCTTCATCCCTAAACATAAATATAGTTGGCCCTCTGTACCTGTGGGTTCTGCATCAGTGGATTCAAGCAACCAGAGATCAAAAGTACTGGGGAAAAAATTGCACGTGTACTGAACAGGTACAGACTTTTTTCTTGTCATTATCTCCCAACCAACACAGGGTAACAACGATTTATATAGCATTTACACTATATTAGGTATTGTAAGTAATCTAGAGATGATGGAAAATATACAGGAGGGTGTGCATCAGTTGTATGCAAATACCATGCCATTTCATACCACGGTCTTGACTATCTGTAGATTTTGGTATTCACAAGAGGTCCTGAATCGATTCCCCAGGGATACTGAGGGACAAGTGTATTGTGACTGGAGTTGCAGCAGCCATCCTGCAACCAAAAGGCAAATGCGTGAGAATAAAGGTCAACACACCAAATCCAAGAGAATCGAGATAAAGAACCTGCAATTTTGATGGGATCTTTGTGGAGCAAATAAAACCGATACAAGCAATTATTCATCTCTACTTTTCATTAAATGAGAACTTGTGTCCCTACTTGTTCATATGACTATGAAAAGGATTTCTATTAGGAGCAGTCATTTTCTGTTACAATTGTTAATTCACAAAAGGGACATTCTGTAAACTAAGTATCCTAAAATCAAAGATAATCATTACATCTAGAACAATCCAACTGGTAATAACAATTTATATTTATATTTACTTTCATGTCAAGCCTCACATATATTTAAGCAGATAACATAATCACAAAAAGAATTTGATTGATTTTACCATTATGTAATATACGTGTGTGGAAATATATATCCTGCAAATATATAAATTTACATTTTTTAAAAGCATGGTGAGAAATTATAGGTTGAATGGCAATATACTGAAGAGTTTTAACAAATAGCTTTGGATGTGAGTGTATGGATAAATTTTCTGCTTTAAATGTGTCTTTTAATGGACACATCCTCCTTTTGTGTGTATATATGTGTAGTTTATAAACATCCAGAAACATATGTGGATAGATAATTTAACACTCTTTCAGATTTAAACAAAAAGGTATCTGCTAAAACCATGTCGGTAGTTGTTTTCCTGAAATGATATTAGAGGTTAATGAAAATATCCTTTTATCCACAAAAATACCATTTGTTCCTAAAATCCCACCATAAGAGATACTTCTAGCTTAAGCAACACAGGAGTTTTGAAGCCTGTGAAAAATACAGTTCTCCCTGAGGAGAGAACATATTCCTTGTTGGTTCTCTACCTGACCTGGTGTGAGAAATATACCTTATCTCAAAGAAATGCCTTTGAGATATGGAAGGCTGTGGCTTGGAGTCTCATCAAATTAGATAATGGAGACACGGTCTGCTGACTTCCCTTTCCAACCCAGTCCCAATGTCATCTAGGACAGCTTGGAGCTATCACTAAGTCTATGTGTGCAGTAAAGACTGTGACTTTTAGTGGGAGCTGAGTAACAATTTGTGAGTAAGTGAATGAAGGAATAAATGACCGGCAATAAAGTCCACCCTTGGCTCTAGAGCACACACTTTCTCCAGCAGTACCACCTTCTCTCAGAATGTTGCCAGCAACCTCACCTTGAAGCTACTGTGGCCTCCCAAACTCCACATTGCAATGCATTTTTTTGATGCCATGCATCATGTTTATTTTCACTCCAACTTGTAACTGGATTGCAATTGGATGTTCTTGCATTGCCCCCCAAAAATAAAATGTTTAAAAGCAATGTTCTAGGAGTTCAAGATAAGCCTGGGCAACAAGACGAAACCGCATCTCTACAAAAAAATATATGAAAAATTAGCCAGGTATGGTGGTGCATGCCTGTAGTTCCAGCTACCTGGAATGCTGAGTGGAAGGATCGCCTGAGCCCAGGAAGTTGAGGCTGCAGTGAGCTGTGATTGTGCTACTGCACTCCAGCCTGAACAACAGAATGAGACCCTGTCTCAGAAAAATAAAAATAAAGCAATGTTAATAGTGATTTTAAACACTGTTATATAACTTTCCTTATATCAAAATGTTCTACCATACAGGCAACTCAAATGTCAGAAATCCACAGGCTTTCAGATGGTTCTGTCTCTCATCTCCCACCCGTCTTCTCCCTTTCCTGGTGGAGCTGGGTTTCACCTACAAAATTTCAAAAGTAAGAAGTCCTCTTTGCTTCATGTACCCTACATCATCACATGCTGATTCTACAAAGAGGACATTTGAACTTGGCTTTAGAGCAGATGTTTTATTCAATAACTTGACTCAGGTGATCTATTAAGTTTTATTTAGTTCTTCTATTTGCACATATGGTCCATATTAAGACTATTACAAAGACACAAGGCATGCTGGGAGAGAGCTCTGCTAAGACTTTATGAAGTAAAACAACTGTCCCAGTTTGATATTTTTCCTGACATTTTAATCCATTGCTTATACACTTCTCTAATTGTAATGTTTAACCTTGGCCTGGGAAACGGGGCCAATCTAAAAGAGAGTAATTGTTTCTAATATGTTGTCAAGAAGTTTTTAGCTGTATACATGGGTAAATAAAGGTGTTCAGAACTGTAATTTGGTGCCAAAAGCAGATACCATATTGCACTTCACCATTAGAAAGAAAGAAACGAGAGAGAAAGAAAGAGAGGGAGAGACAGAGACTGACTGAATAGAATAATAAACTTTGGTCAGTGAAGCCAGGACCACTAAGGTTTTAAAGTGCTGAGATTCTTTGGTAAGTTTTGCAATATGAGCCCTTCTTGGCCCTTATGCACACTCAGATTAAACACCACTCAGATCCAAAGCTTGTTTATCTCTTTTACAACTGGAAGTTCTTCTGTGAATAACTCCTATAAGCCTCTTTGGTATAAAGCCCCCTTAAGTCATCTGCTTTGTCAGCTATAGGATTTTCAACATTTGTTTCATAAGTGTGGACCCTAATGGGATTTAAATCAAAAGAGGAATTTACTGCCGCCTTTGGGTCTTTGTAGTACCAGCTTGTGAAGCTTTGTCTGAGTTACTGGGAATGAAAAAGAAGTTAGTTTTTTAATTTTACATATCAAATCACAGTCTACTTTTCAAAATACAGCACACTATAATTTCCAAAGGGACATATTTTATACACACACACACATATGTATATAATGTTTATAGAGTATATATACTTGTTTGTGTATATATAAACACAATATAAAATATAGAATATAAGTATAGAAAATATATTACTCATTTCTCTTGATTTGTTTCTTTATTTAACACTAAACAGTATTTATTAAATGTAAAAGTTTCCACAATACCTCCTAAGAAGACAATTACAGAAATCAGTCAACTCCTCTTACTTTTTTAATGGCAAGGCATGTCCAGCCATGAAGCAACCACAGCCACATGAGCTGCTAAGTTCTCGCCCCAGCCAGTGTCCCAGCTGAAGCCTAACCGCCCAGGGCCAGGAACAGTGGCCAACACATCTGTGCTTCAGCCCGCCTCTGTCCACCTGGAGATGGGATTAGAGGCCACCGAGATCTCAGAAAACACTCACAGCTCACTAGCAGCCAATGCAATCCATGAGGTCAACTCAGGTGCAGATTAGGTCTAGTCAAGTAAAGCACACAGCCCCTCATCCAGTGAACTCAAACCCAAGCTGTCCCTTTAGTCTATGGGGGATTCATCCAAGCACCACAATTGGGCTTCTATAGTAATTTTCACAGTCAATTGCCCCATCCCCTTTGAAGCAGATCCCTTTGCACATAAAGTTATTCTGGGAATCTACCATCACATGACTATGTCACAGAAACAATGTCTCCCACTTACTTAATATCAAGCAGTAACAGGCATTTAACGTGTGCTCTCTCTAATCCTTCAAGGCAAGTACTATCAGCCCCATTTTACAAGTGACGACGATAGAGCCCAGGCACTCTGAGACATCTGTCCAAGATCACTCCACTGATACAGTAGCAGACTCAAGGCTAAAACCAAATGTGTGTGGCTTTGGAGTCACTTGGAGCTACTTCAGAAGAACAGAAGAACACTCTCTCAGCTATGCTGGAGTTCCCAAACTTTGGTCAGTTCTCTCCCATAATCAGGTTTCTGTCATTCATGTTGCCATGGATGTGTCTCAATAGTCCAGATGTGTGATGGCATTTTACCAAACCTACTTCCCACTCCTCTTCTTTTACCTCCTTGTCTTAATCTGTTTGTGCTGCTATAACGAAATACCACAGAGTAGATAATTTATAAAAAAAAACAGAAATTGATTTTCTCACCGTTCCGGAGGCTAGGAAGATCATGATCAAGGTGCGGGCTTGTTTGATTGTCTTGTGAGAGCTGCAGCACTTGGAAGGAAGGAATGCTGTGTCCTCACACAGTGGAAGGCTAAGGGGCAGGCTGAACATGGCACGAAGCCTCTTGTACAAGGCTTTTCATTCCATTCAAGAGGGGAGGAGCCCTGATGACTTAACCACCTCTTAAAGGTCCCTCTTGGCCGGGTGCAGTGGCTCACGCCTGTAATCCCAGCACTCTGGGAGGCCGAGACAGTCAGATCATGAAGTCAGGAGATCAAGACCATCCTGGCTAACACAGTGAAACCCCATCTCTACTAAAAACACACAAAAAAATAAAAATTAGCTGGGTGTGGTGACGGGCACCTGTAGTCCCAGCTACTCGGGAGGTTGAGGCAGGAGAATGGCCTGAACCTGTGAGGCAGAGCCTGCAGTGAGCCGAGATCGTGCCACTGTACTCTAGCCTGGGTGACAAAGCAAGACTCCATCTCAAAAAAAAAAAAAAAAAAAAAAAAAAGTCTCTCTTAAGGTCATCACTTTGGCCATTAAGTTTCAACATCTGAATTTTGGAGGGGACACATTTAAACTATAGCACTCCTCAACCACGTATGCAGAGAAGGAAATCAGAGATAGGAAGATAATGTCACCTAACGTTCCTCTCCCTTTTCCAACCTCACCCATCTCCACTCAACAAAATCACATCAATTTGTGTGTGTGTGTGTATGCATGTGTGTGCTATGTATGTATACATACATATATATATATACACACATTCCAATATGATGCATTGTTGTTAATAATGTTTGTTGACTGACCAAAAATGAATATATATACACACACACACATAAATATATATATATATATATATATATATATATATATATTTACATGCATGTGTATGTGTGTGTGTATTCACACTTATAGGAAAGAAACTGCCGAAGAAAGTATATGAGATATGAAATGCAAACTAAAGCAACAGAAAGTCACTCCGAGTTGAGACTGGAGGATGTGTTTCTCAAGTCTGCTTTTCCATATCATAGTATGGCCACTAAAACAAGTGAACAAGTGTGTGTTCCATTTCTCAATAAAGCAGAGCTGTAAACTGTTCAATGGGAAGTGCCAAGAGACTCTTATTAGCAGAAAGCGCAAGAGGAGAAGGCAGCGGATGTTTTCATAAATCACATAAATTCCTTAGTTTAATTTTTTTAAATAAGATCTTTGTTAGAAAATAAAAAATCAGAATGGTTAAAATTGCCTTACGTCTTTCATAATATAATATGAATTATTCAAATTGGATTACTTGTTCAAAGCTGGAGAGGTTTTAGATGTGCAAAGAGAACAACAGGATAGGAATAATATATTTTGTAATATGAGAACATTTAGAAGCTAAAGGCCAGCTGGCATGTCATCATAAGGTCTTTTGAACTACTTAATAGTTCTAGATGTACATGGGCAGGGTGGGGATGGGGCTGGGAGACCAAGATGAAAAAAGAGGTATAGAAATGAAGGGTCTTGAAATCCAGGTAACTGAAAGTAGTCAGTGTGCTAGATTTTTTTTTTTTTTTTTTTGAAATGGAGTCTCACTCTATCACCCAGGCTGGAGTGCAGTGGAGCGATCTTGGCTCACTGCAACCTCCACCTCCCGGGTTCAAGCGATTCTCTTGCCTCAGTCTCCCAGGTAGCTGGGATTACAGGCACCCACCACCACGCCTGACTAATTTTTGTATTTTTAGTAGAGATTGGGCTTCACCATGTTGGCCAGGTTGGTCTGGAACTCCTGACCTCAGGTGATCCACTCACCTCAGCCTCCCAAAGTTCTGGGATTACAGGTGTGAGCCACCACACCCAGCCTTGTGCTAGATTTTCTATAGTTATTATACAACGAGGAAACCTCTACTACCAGCATGTGTCTCAGTTATTTTTACAGAATTGTTTTTAGCCAGTCAATCAACAAACATTTATTATTTACAACAATGCATCATGTTAGGATAGGCACAAAAATATCCTTAGTCTCAAGAAGCATATGACTTGGAAGGCTAAGACGTACAGAAAATACCCAGAAAATAATGTATAATCCCTGATAAATGTGTTGAACACCATATGCCAAAGATGATCAAAGCTGTGGGGAAAGGCCAGCATGTTGACCAGAGTAGCCAGCGCTTCATGAAAGGTTATGTCTTGAACTTAACTTTGAAAAATGAAGAGGAATTAGAGACATTGAGCCAAAACAGAGAAGACAAATAAAACCTAAAACCATGGAGGGCCCTGAAAGAAATACAAAAAGAAGATCAGCTAGACTTCAGGTATAGGATTTAAAGCTGGTCAATTAAAGTTGTTAATTCCTTAAAGTATGGGCATTATAGTGGGTTAGCCAGGTGGGTCCAGTGTAATTCAAGGGTCTTTTAAATGTAGAAGAGGGAAGAAGACAAGTCAGTCTCATAGTGATGCCATGTGAGACAGATGCAAGTGCCTTTGAATACAGAAAGGGGCCACAAGCCTAGGAATGTGAGCAGGGAAACTTCTGGTAGCTTAAAAAGGCAAGAAAACAGCATCTTCCCTAGGCCTCCAGAAGTAACTCAGCCCTAACAACACCTTGATTTCAGCCCAGTAAGATCCATTTGGGGCTTCTGACTTCAAAATCAGTAAAATCATAAATCTGTATCATTTTAAGCCAATAAATGTGTGATAATTTATTAGAGCAGTAAGGGAAACTAATGTATGGAATGTTCTCAAATTTCAGGTATTAGGGTGAGAATGGGGGGCCATTTGCCTACTAGAAATATACCCATCTCTTTAACTGAAGAGAAAGCTAACAGGAGGTTAGGTAAGTAAGTAGTAGGTAAGTCTGGAGTTTCTGATAGCCACTGACCATCAAACAAGGACCTATTGTGAAAGACCATGGCGTTTTCAGAGCACCTAGCATGGTGCCTGATGCTAAATATTAAATATAAAAACTCCCTTCATAAATATTAATAGCAATTCTTACATCATTAGTGACTACAAGTCCAGTTTTCTAAATCCTGGTAATCAAATGCATCATGCTTTATTTTGAGTACTGAAATAACAGTTGTGATACTATTATCTCAGCCTCTGATCAACAGCTTTTTGTCCCCTTTCTTGTCCCTCTCCAGTGTTTCCTCCTCTCTCCCACCCTCTCTCTAGGCTTCTCTGCTCCTCTTCACCACTCAGTTCCTACAAGTACAGCTCTCTCCCTCCAGCCCCTCAAAAGCCATCAAAAGTTTGACCCCTGTGGCGGGAGGAGCTCTCAGAAGCAGTGAGTCTCTCCACTGGAGAAAAGGAAAAGTAAGGCAGATTCAGGAGGAGAAATCAATCAAAACCACAGCTACTCTACTCAGAGCCTGAGGCAGAGCAGAGGAGCTGCCCACAGGCTGTGGTCCTGAAAGTTTGCACTCAAGGGAGCAAAACAGCAGGAAGAGTCTGAAGTCTGTTGACTAAGACCTCAGAAGGTGGTGACTTCCAAGGAGACACGAGAAAGGGAAAGGACACAAGAGAGCGAATGGTAACTAGATGGGTGATTTGCAATATGTTTATGTGTTTTTTTTTTCTATTAGAAATCTGTTTAAGATTTATTTTCATTTATTTTTCCTGACTTTTGAACTACTTCTTTCTAGAAACACTAAAATTAATCCTTGAAATAGTCACTGGAACGCTGGCACCAACACTGTCCTCCACTGTTGCAATCACTGACAAGTATTATCGTTGTTCTTGAGCAAGGAAAGGGTGAGCTCATGCAGTGACATTGTGGTCCTATTAGTTACTTCAAATGGATGGGCTGGAGAGATGAGAGATTAAAATCATTCCAAGAAACTGGCTAATCGGCATTCCAGTCTGAAGCAAGAAGAAACGCCAGCCAAACAGACCTCCATGGAAAGAGATTCAACATGATGGCTTCCAGGCATCTCGGGACGGGGGGCCAGGCAGGAGGGAATAAAAAAGACCTATGGCCAGCTGGACGCAAAAAGCAGCTTGTGGCAAAGTTGGCAAAACATATGAAGACATTTATTCTTCAGCAGTTCTTCAATGGAGTGGAAAACCAAAGCCTGTATTTTGAAGAAAGGGGTATGAATATTATCTTGGAACAAGATTCCCTGAGATGTGAGGCAGCACATCACCCGAAGATGATCTGTTGAGGCTCGATGAGCATACAAGTCTACCAACGACTTACTCTATGACCATATTAGCAATGGTTTTTGGCTTTTGAAAAAAAACATGTTACCTTTAGACAGTCACCCATGGGGTCAATTCAGGTACAAACTTTTAAGAAAGAGGCCCTCTTTTAAGCACAGAAGTCTCCTTAACATAAACTCACCCCCAAAGAAAAGTGAGGAACAGAAGGAAGAAGAGGGAGGAACAGGGGCCACCTCACGATGGCAGGTCAAAAAACTTGCAAGAGATTTGGAGAGTTAGGCATCCCTTTCCAGATAGAGTGGTCAGTCGCAGCTTCACAAAGACGGTTCTCCCACTTTAAAGGAGCAAAGCCACCTTCTTCTGAGAAGGTCACCGTTTTCTGCTGGGAATGAAATTTCAGGAGGGACTTTCCTGAAATGGTAAAGGAGAAAGGAGCAGCCCAGTCTGGACAGTCAGAACAACTGAATAAACCCTGGTTATCAGTGGGGAAAGAGGCTGTCACCAGGTCATTTTCACATCTTACAAAGGAATCTTCAAGGAAGAGCAGAGAGATAGCAGATAAGAAAGCATGCAAAGGTGGAGAGCATAACTTGAGGAAAAATGAAGAAGAAGAAAGCAGGCGACTATCACCAGGTAGAAGGAAGAGGCCAGGAGGGTGATGTGGAAGACGATGGGTTACAGAAGACAGATAAAGCCACAGTAATTATCACAGAGCAGGGTAGGCAAACTATACCCAGTTCCAAACCAGCACAATACCTCTTTATATATTAAAGGTTTATGTAAATGCAGCCACACTCACTTGCTCATGTGTTGTTTATAGATAGCTATTTCATACTACAACATCAGGGTAGTGTGTCCCGCAAAGCCTAGCATGCGGCCTTCTCCTTTACACACACATACACACACACACACACACACACACACACACACACACACTGACTTCTAATATAGATGAGGATCTAAGTATTTTGGAAATCTTGTAAAATATTACTCCATATTAAGAAATTAAAACAAACAGAGGAACTACATGATAGATCATGAGTAATCAAGAAAATTACCCATTTTGGGAGCTAGGAATTCTTTTTGCATCCAGAGAATAACAATAGAAACCCAAACTAAACTTTATTCTTTCTGTGAATATGTTCAAGGAATTAGGAAAAAATATGCAGTCACCAACACCTGTCAGTGTTGTAGAACGAGGCAGTCAACACATAAAAAGATATCTACAGTTATGAATTACTTTGGTGGACAAGAGAAGCAAACAAATGTTATGTGAACATCTCCACTTACAATTTTCAGTCATTCAAGCGTATCCCCTATAAATATTGCCACACCAAACTGACCTAACAAGCATTATTCTCTAGAGAGAACACTGTTTTGATGGAAGAGATAGCAATTGTTTGCACAAAAATCACCTTGTACAACAGAAAAAAAAAGGTTTTTTAATCTCTGCCAAGTGCAAAGCTGTTCACTTGCTTCTAATTATAAGTGGTGTGAGAAAAGGGAAAGGGACCTAGGTAGAGAAGGAGATGAAGGAGAAACATTCTAAATAGGTGTTTTGCTTAAAATTGAAGGCTATCCTAACATAAATAAGAAATTGGAGTAAAAGTGACATTTCTTAAATATCTATACATTTTCATGTCCTTTACCCGCCCCATACACACAAGCACGTATAAATACTTATTTGAATTCTGATATCAGAATGACTGATAAATTCTCAATTATTGAAGCAAACCATGGAAAGGAAGTCTATGGAATTACTAACACTGGAGTTAATTTATACTGACACTGGAATTAATTTACACAGACACATAACAAAATTAATCATTCCAATTTTAATTAATGTTCTTCTTTTACTCTCCTCTACTAAATGAAATCTACATGGTAGAAAAAGTGGAGCTAGTATCAAACTAATTAGTAACTCTGAAGGTTACTTTAAGTTTTCACTTTTATGTTAAAATATGACCCCATTAAGTTTCAATTTAGATAGTTCCTTTCCATTTAATATGAATTGCCTTACTTCTTTAAAACATTATATTTCCTTGGTGGTCAAGAAAATAAATATATCTTGGAGTGCAAATGAATCCCTCAATTGTCATGAGTGGAATTGGAAAGCCTGCCTCTAATCATCCAACAAAGTTTTTTAAAGGGGTTGGGTTGGAGACCATAACTCAGTGGGATAAAGACTTCATTCGAGCATGAATTGCTCTCAAAATCATCCAACTTTATACTATATTCGCAGTTTAAAATGCCAAACCATATCATCGCTCAGTTGATCTTGGAAAGTTTCAAAAACCGCAGGCCAGAGCCCAAAGATAAATTGGTCAGTGAATTCACTACTTCCAGAAAGAGAGAAACTTTTGAAAGAAAAGAGGCCATAGTGGCTCTAGCAGCGCAATCGATTAGCGTACAGTACTTATAAGAAAAGAGGCCATAAACATTTGTTTGCCTTACGAATAAAGTACAGCATTCCCTCTCCTTGATCAAGGTAGCTTTGGCTACTAGTTTGGGAGGTGGGATAGTCTACAAATGAGTAAGAAAGGCCAGAGTTAATCTACAAAGACACGAACTTTCACTCCACCTCTTGCATTTTTAAAAAGAAACGAGTAAGTCTCTGGCCTCACAGGGAAGACATGGGCAGGGATAAGAGGAGACAGGCATTACCAGGCATCTCAGAGAGCATTACCAAGTGGGCTGCAGCATGGGTGCTAGTATTGGTCAAACCAGCATCATCATCAAGGCTCCACTACTAAACACCTTGACTTTGGCTACCTTCTTTCCTAAACCTGTTTCCTCACAGTAACACAGCAATAGCATTAGTAATGACCTCAAGAATATTGTAAAGATATTACCACTAATTATTGTTACTATTTAAAATACATCACTTAATTTGAAAAGTGGTTTATTCAACACCCCGCTACTATCACCACCAAGAACTCTTAGATTCTGCTTTACCTTTGTTGTCAAATAACCAAAAGGATGAGAAAAAAATGATTTAAGTTTTTTCTTACTATAGAGAACAAGTTCTCAAACTTCATAGAGCCTCAGAATCTCTGGGAAAGCTTGTTAAAGCACAGATTGCTGGGCTGCACTCCCAGAGTTTCAGATTTAGTAAGCTAGCGGGAGGGGCCAAGAATTTGCATTTATTACAAGTTTCCAAGTGACAGATGCTGAAGAACTGAGGACCAATTAGAGAACCACTGCTGTAGAAGAAGTTTATAGTCATTGGTTGGAAGCCTTTGGTTGAGAGGGAAAAGAGACTGAGACTCACAAATTCCTGGAGGAAACGAGTAAGGGAAAAACACAGAGAGAGGAATGCCCACCTTGCCCTTTACAGCCACAGACAAGAAGACAAAGCCGAACCCCCCGTGTCAATCAACACTAATGCGGTGGGAGCCTGAGAGCCTCAATGTTGGCTATGTAGAGATTTCAAACTCTGCTGTGGAAAGGAAATATGTTAGACATCTAGGGGGTTATGACTAGATTTAGGAATAGGGGATGGAAAGAAAAAAATTTCACAATAAACCTTTTAAATGATGATCTCTTAAGCTCCATTTTCTAATATATTCAAAGAGAAGGTCATGTTCAGAGCAGCGATGAAATTTAAGTCACTAATCCTTCACTGAATTATTTCAAGACATTGAAATTTTATTTTAATTAGATGGCTTAAGTCATTTACAATGTAATTCTGGACTACTTTTACAACTTGCTTTTGGTAGCATTAATTTGTAACACTCATGTATAAACTACATGTAAGAGTACACATAAATACTCACAAGACAGAGGCGTAAAAGATAATGATTTTATTGTAATCCAATTCAACCTATATTCCTGGCACTATTATACTCATAAAATATGCATTGAAAACTCTAGGTGGGAGTTCTATTTTCATCTATATCTAAATAGTCCAACAAGGCAAGACTGAACCATTAGGCCTGCTGGAAAGTATGTCACCTGGCAACAGCCCAAAGCCATTCAACTCTGAAAGTGTTATTAGAAGAAAGAAAAGTCAATGTAGGTAAAACGTCACATTTTCATTATTACAGATGCAAACAGATACATTGCTAATTATTTTCCAAAATCACTTCATCCTGGCAATATCATGAAAATAAAAATGAAGAATAAATATCAAATTCCATTCCCGAAGCTTAGTATTTCCAGACGTGTTTTACAAATAAAATGAATCCCCTGAGACATTCTGTGAATAAAGGATTTATGGTCAAAAAAAAAACTTGGATATCAGTGAATGTGACATCCTCTTCTTAGAACTTCTCTATTACTGAGAAGTCATACAGTACAGAAATCTACTTAGCTTTGTGTAACTCAGAGGTTCCCAAACCAAGTAAGCAAAACATCTTGTTTTCATGTCCATGGTGTATCTCTCCTGGATATAGAGTTCTGGGTTGACAGATTGCTCTTTTCTTTCACCACTTAAAACAAGTCATTCCCATTGCCTCCTCCTTTCCATTATTTCTGATAAGTTAGTGAATATTCATCATTGCTGTGTATATAATGGACTGTTTTTCTCACTGTTGTCATGATTACCTCATTGCTTTGACTTTCAGCATTTTGACTATGATTTGCCTAAAAAACAAAAGTGTAGTTTTCTTTAGATGTCTCCCACTTATGGTTTGCAAAGGTTCTTGAATCAAGTTAATATTTTTCACCAAATTTGGGAAATTTTTATCCATTATTTGTTAAAATATTGTTTCATGTGCCAGTCTTTTTCTTGTCTCTTTCTGGGACTGCAATCACATGTATCTTATATTGCTTGATGTGTCCCATATGGGGCTCTGTTAATTCTTTTTATTTCTTCTACATTGTTCAACTGGAGTAATATCTATTGATCCATTTTCACATTCACTGGCCTTTTCTTCTTTCTTCTTCAATTTGCTGTCAGGCCCATATTGCAAAATTTTCTATTTTAGATATTTTACTTTTCAATTCCAGAGTTTCTATCTGGCCCTTTTGTAAACTTTTCATTACTCATTTGAGATTTTCCATTTGTTCACTCCTTATGACAAAATCCTTAGTTCCTCTAACAAATTAATAGTAGCTGTTTTAAAGCATTTGCTATTCCCACAGCTGTGTCTTCTTAGGGTCTATTTTTATTGACTCCTTTTTCTCTTGTTTATGTTTCATTTTCCTGCCAGAATTTTTTTAGTTTACACTGACCATAGTGGATGACACATTTTAGGACTCTGTATTCTGTTCTCATTCTGCAATAACAGGACTATTGATTTGTGTTTTAAAAAGCAGTTAAATTACTGGCTAATCACCTTTAACATGTGGAGGCTTGACTTTTACAGTTTGGTAGGCTAGGTCTGTTTCCATTTTGCCCTCAGTCCAACAGAAAAATTTATTTTACCCAGAAAAGCCTATAAAACACTATTAACCTAGCCACAGAAATCTGATTGTTGCACAAATAAAACAGAATGAAAAAGTATTCTTTATGAGAGCACAGGTTTTTAAGAGGTCCAATTCTTTCTTTATAATTCTGAAAGCTACTCAAACTATATCCTTTCCTGAAAAGTTAGTGAGTTATTAGGTAGTACAAATTCTCAGCATTGTAAATCAAGCTTTATTTTCCCCCATATGGTCAGAAAAGTTATAATAATCAACCTAGATCACCAAATAAGAAGCAAAGCACCTAACCACTTCTCTGCTGAAGTTAAAATAGAATCTTTTCATTTTTTCACCTGCTTTCTTACAAAAGTTACCTTTTTTCAAAACTCACATATAACAAAATGCTTACATATAATACAGAACTGTCTTGCTCCCATCTTCACCACTTTTGACAAATTCATAAACCTCTATAAGTACCCTTTTTCTCCCTTGTAAAATACTAGTAACTAGTAACTAGTAACACAGTACCTCTTAAGCACAGCATCAGGTACAGAGCTATCACTCAGTAAATCAGTGTTTTTGTTTTTGTTTTTGTTTTTGTTTTTGTTTTTGAGATGGGATCTCACTACATCATTATTTCACCCAGGCTTTTCTCAAGCTCCTGAAACTCAAATGATCCTCTGGCCTTGGCCTTCCAAGTAGCTGAGATTACAGGTGGGAGCCACCATGCCTGGCTAGTAAATAGCTATTTTTAAAGTCAGAGACCTCTACCTCTAGATCATGAGGTGGAAAAATATTTAATCCAACAACTAAAATAGAGTTTTCCTGTTCTGCCTAATTAGAGGCCAGCTAAAATCAAAACTCACAGCACTTGCTATGACTCAGCTCACTCCATATAATAAGAACTGCATGTCCACAAGCTAAAATATAGCTTAGTTATAGGTCCAAAAGAAAAACCCGTGATTCTACACCCACCCTATCCCACTGCCACCTGAAATATGCTGCTTCGACTGGTAAAACTGGCTGACTCCATATCTGGCCTCATGCTCCACTCAGCTGCCTACACTAGGAACCTCAGGACTCTCCTCTACATTTCCCGTCCTCTCTAATCAGCTGTCAACCCATTCTGCCTCTTCACCCTCACTCAAAACCTCTGCCACCTCCTCAACCCCAAAGTCACTGCTTTAGATGACATCTTCATCCCCTTTTGCCTGTACCATTTCCAACAGCCTCCTTAAAACATTTCCCTGCTTGCAATACATTTTCTATACCACCAACAGAATCATCTTAAAACCAATCTGAGTCATTTGTTACCTATAAGCTCCCAATAGTTTCCCAGTGCCTAGAAAATGAAGTCCATGCTCAGTAACATCCTATAAAATGTTGTGCTATAGCCCAGTTGTGCTTCCATACTCTTTCACTCTAGTCCTTCTCCAACCCTTCAGCCTCATGTGATGTGCTCACTCTTGTCTGGAACAGCCTGAGTTCACAGCTCTGTGAAGATTCTTCCCTATGCCTAGGGTAATCTTCTCTACCTACCAAATGCCTATTCATCCTTATATTAGTCCATTCTCACGTTGCTGATAAAGATATACCCAAGACTGGGCAATGTACAAAAGAAAGAGGTTTAATGGACTAACAGTTCCACATGGCTGGGGAGGCCTCACAATCATGGTGGAAGGCAAGGAGAAGCAAGTCACATCTTACATGGATGGCAGCAGGCAGAGAGAGCTTATGCAGGGAAAGTACCATTTTTAAAGCCATCAGATCTCGTGAGATTTATTCACTATCATGAGAACAGCATGGGAAAGACTCACTCCCATGATTCAATTACTTCCCACTAGGTTCCTCCTACCACACATGGGAATTGTGGGAGTTACAATTCAAGATGAGATTTGGGTGGGGACAGAGCCAAACCATATCAATCCTTAAACAGGTTACATCGTCTTCTTTGTGAAGGGTTCCTTTCTAGGGCAAGGTTTATAATTCCCCACTCTGCTTTTATTATAGCACTGATTCTGCTGTACTGTAATTACTTATCCATAGGTCTATTGCGTCCTCAAGACTGCGCACTCCCAGAAGACAATGACAATGCCTGGTATAGTACCTGGCTCAGAGTAGGTGCTCAAGAAACATTTGTTGAATTAATAAATGAATATCACCTTTAAAAAAATTTTCTGTAGCTAACATTCTACAGGTACGTGGCATTTGAATATGAAGCCCAAAGATGAAAAACAAGAATGAAACAAAGTATCTGCCTCACAGTAAATCCCACCACCCAAGGGAACTAATCAAATAAAACAATAAATAAGGAGGCTTAGTATTAATCTCAATCATCTTTATCTGTATTCCTCCAATACCAAGAGAAATGAAACTCATGTATTTTTACACAAAGTTACATCTACACCATTCAAAGCCCAATTTAGTAACTCTCAGCTTTTCCTAGCTCATACATTTTTGTTATAATGCTTTCTTTTCAGATCATCTAAGTTTTTTTAAAAAATCATCTTATCTTGGTTTTTGTCAAGCAAAGGTTAATATTGGATACTTTAATCACAAAACTCATGTTTGGCACTGGGTCTTGGCAGAAAGCCCCACGTGTAATTTCTCTGGGACTAAATTACTCATTTCTAATATAAACATAAGAATAAAGCAAAAACTAGCATTATGTAAACAAAATATGTTATTTTTTAGTTCTCAACTGAAAACTCATGCAACCTCATTTAACCACTATTTCAATGAGACATGGGATTTTAATGTGACACAAGACAAACCAGGATCCCTTGTTAAGCAGTCAGCATAGTCCAAAAGAACCCCATACCCAGTAGCCTTTTTCCAGTCAAATTTTTAAGCAGTCTGGTTTCATTTTTTCCAAATACAGAACCAAGTATCCCTGATTCTTATCGTCATCCAAACAACTGCAACCAGCTGTGAAAACTAGAACTAGGAATCAAGTCTGTCTATAGGGAGTCCCCTCAAAGCTACTAAGCATGACTGTTTTCATCAACAAATATTCATGACCCTATTTTCCAAAATTCCAACTCTGCCAACCATTTCATTTTAAAAAGAGAGAAAGCAAATGAGACAGAAAGAGAGATTCAATCCTTTAAAATCCTTTAATTTTTCTTCCTTTCAACTCAGTCAAAATTAGGTAACCTCTCATAAGAAAGTTAATTATCTTCTCCTCTTTTGGGATTTTATTTTGTAACCCCCCAAATAATGCATTTATTACAAACACAAGATACCTCTTCTATTGCCACAATCCTCACATATTATCTAATCTGCAAAAGCAATTCCCTACTTTGTTAAAAGTAAAACCATGGACTCTTCCTTTCCCATTTCCTTATTGAGAGCTTCATGTCCCAGGCTTTGCTCTCTGGATTCCCATCAGAAGGTTCCTACAAAATCCTCCCTACCTTATGCTCTGCCTCTGCAGCATTAGGTATGACATCTGCCATGGCATTAGCCACTTCAGTGCTCAGAGAAATAGAAAAACCATCCTGGAGAACTTCAAAACTCCATAAGCAGAAGCTTCAGGTAATAGAAAGGGAGCGTTACTTGCTTTTCAGTTGCCTAAGATCAAAATCGCACACACAGGTCTGTTGTGTTGCAAAGCCCATCTCCACCAGTAGACATGTTTTTCTTTACACTTAAAAGAGCTGTCCAAACTAATTAAGGCATTTGCATCTTCTCCTTGACAACACTCTTAAAAGCCCACCTGTTGTGTGAAACTCTTCTGCATGACTAAGTCTCTTGCACTCCCTTTTTCCTGTGTTCCCTTTGGAGCACATGACTTCATAAAGCTTGTCTCTTGGCCATGTGCCTCCCTACTCCCAAACAAGGCCAAGATGAAAATGATGCTTCTTGTAACACTCCAAGCCTCCTGGTAAAAGATGCAGTGGTGGATATAAGCTCAAGTGCTTCTTACTCCTCATTCCCAAGTTCAAGTGAAAAAGGCAACTTGTATTGCCTTGCCTACTTTCCTTCCCTCTCATCAGCCTTTACTAACAACAATTATAATCCTGAAGGTATGAAGATGCTACTTGTTTTAATCAGAATAGATTTGTGCACATTACATTAAAAATTCTTACAAATTCTTAACACTTACTATTACTTAGAGTGCAAATTACAGTGCTGCTTACCAAGACAATTAGCACTGGGGGTCTGGGGCAGCTATGCCACACCTTTTATCAGCAGACTGATAAAAAATACTTGAACGTATTTTATAGTTTATGAAACATTTTTACATATATTATCTCATTTCACACTCAGAAGAAGCTAATGAGGTAGATTTTATTAGACTCATTTTGCTGAATGGGGAAATTGAGGCTCAGAAGTTTGTGTAACTTGCCCAAAGTTATAAAGACAGTACTTAGTAGGGCTAAAACTTCCCTGAAAATTTCCCAATTCCTAGTTCTACCCTGTTCCCATTATACCACGTTCACTTAGGCCAAGGGAATGTTTAAGTCATGTTTTATCCTGCATCCTTCATTTTGGCTGTAGTTTCGTTGGTTGTTGGGCTGTTTTTCGTGCTCTGTTTGTTTCATTTTGCAGACCAAATTGTGACAGGTACTTCTTTGGTAAACCTGAACAAATAAGAGTTATTTCTTCTCTTTTCTGTAGAAATAAAAACAGAATTTGCATATAATAGCAATCGCTGATTCCTGTCTAGGCTAGTTAGAGTTTAAAAAGTTGGAAGACCTCACCCACAGCAGTTCCAAATGCAATGCTTTACATTTAGGTAATTATCAATTATCTTTCAAATTCATATTAGCCAGGGAGCCAATACAGCCAGCCTACCAGAAGGAAATGATGCTTCAAACTGCGGAGCTGCTGGCATTCAGGTCATGAAATAACATAACTATGAAATTATGCAAGTAAATACCATCCTCATTCACGTAACATTTGAAAAATAATTGCTGTAAAGGAAATAATGGAATATCATGCAATATCCCTGCAAGGTCCATTTTCAGGCCCATATTTCACTACACAGAAACACACATACACATAATTGAAGAGTTAGGCTTCCTTGGTTACATACCCGTCTAACAATAAACAAGCTGGAAGTCAGTCACTCTATTCATGTTGAGCTGTGGGCACACACACCCATTTATTATCTGTGGGACTGACTGTGCCGCAAACTTTAGTGGCAATAAATAGTTGCAGAGGAAGAACCATCCACGGAACAAATAAAAACATGAGTGGATTCCAAAAAGTACAAAGATTTGCTCAACAAAACTCACTAGGCAAGGCCAGCATTATAAAAACCTGCCTCCAATCCTTCAACTGAAGCAAAATGTCTCTGGCAACTGGGAATAGTTAAAATTTCCTATTTTCTGATTATTCCAAGTGCTTACCTCTGCACATCCGGTCTCCAGCTGGGTTGGTCAGCACAAGAAGTCGCCTAAGAAAGCCAGTTCTCACAATCTTTTCAGACCAATTTAGCAATTTGCAAAATGGAGAAGGTTTATCATGATGGAAAAAAAGTAAGGTAGCCTCAGCAGTAAAAATAACCAAAGCCACAGACAATGACCCACCAACTCAAGTACAGAAACAGAATCCACATCACAATAAGAAAAATTCTACTCAGGGAAAACAGAAAGGGAATATAAATAAAACCAGAAAACTTCTATCATTAATGTGCATATGGGGCAAACTGAATACAAAGCTCCATAGAGGAGCAAAAATTTAACAATGATGATTTCTAGAAAGCACGGTGTATCATTGAGGATTAGCTTCAGCTGCAAATGAAAGATAAAGCAAAAGAACATTGGTTTAAAGGACATAGACATTTCCATCTCTCACACAGAAACAAAGCCTGGAGTGAGAGGCCCAAGGCTAGTATGAAAGCTCCAGAACTCACACATCTTTATGTTCTACAGTTCTTAGCACATGGCTCCTCTCACATGGCTTAAAAGGGCCTCTCAAATGACCATCACATTTATATTCCTGCCAGATTACAGGAAGAAGAGTGCAGAGATGCATGCATCCTGCCTGTAAGATATCCCTGCTTATGTCCCACCAACTACAACTAAATTGCTGTAGGACTAGCGCAAGTGAACTTGGAAATAGCAAAACATCTCATAACTAGTGCAAGCGAACTTGGAAATAGCAAAATATTTCTTTACAATTGGCATTTGCAATGGTTGGAAGATAAATATTTTACAGCTCGAGGGAATTCAGGGCCTTGGGGTCCATGCAAACATCCAAAAGATATTTAGAAACTACCTACTTTTGCCGGATACTAGGCTCTGCACTGGAGAACAGCCCCTGCCTTTAGGCACAGACACTTCAGTGACCACCACTCCCTAAAACAACTAGAAGTGACATTTATGAACACGCATGCATAATGTCTTCTTCTTTAACAGTTTACTTGGAAATAACCTCCAACATACCAAAACACAGCAAGAATAAGACAGCTTTATCAGATCTACCAACCACCAACACTTTATCACATTTGCTTTATTATATATTGTCATTCTCACTTATTCACTTTCTCCCACCTCCTTCTCTTACTACTCCTCTTCCTTCTCATCCTCCTCATCCTTCCTTCTCTCTCTTCCCTTTCCTTACCTTTTTCCTCCCTTTACCCACATGCATTTGAGAGTAAGATACAGACGCTATTTCCCCTTCATCCCTAAATATATCAGTATATATTTCCTAAGAACAAGAACATTCTCTTGCCTAACCATAGTAAAATTATGTCACCAACTAACTCAGTGAAGTCATTTATACTAATGTTTTTCCTGGTCCAGGATCAAATTCAAGATCATGTACTGCACTGGGTTGTCATGTCTACTCAATCTGGACCAGTTTCTTAGCCTTTTTTTCTCTTTCATGGTACTGATATTTTTGAAGAGCCTGAGACAGTTGTTTTAGAGAATACATGCTCCTGGAACAGGAATATGATGCGAGTGAGCCTTCTCAGTGCGTTGTATCAGGAGGCAGACGATCATGGTTTGCCTCATTATGGGTGATGCTAACTTTGATTCTTTGTCTAAGTTAATTTCTTCCATTGGACTTTTCCAGTGGAAAGTTAGCATTTTCCTGTAGTCAACTGATAGTGTCTGGTGAGATACTTTGAGATTCTATAAATAACCTGTCCCACATAAAACATTCACACACTAGTTTTATAATCACTAATGATTCTTGCCTGGATTAAATATTATTATGATGATTGAAAATGGTGATTTTCTAACTCCATCATCCCTGCTTTATTTATTAGGTAACATTTTATTGTAAGGAAGAGCTTACCTTTCTTATCTATTTATTTGTTTGCTTATTCCTTTGTTTAAATCAGTTTATATTAGTATGAACTCATAGACTTATTTTTTTTTAAAGTGCTAAAATCCTCAAAAGCTGTTATTTATTTTGAGGTGTACTAAATTTGTCCAATGAAAGCCAAGGGGCCTTCTGTGTCATGTTGAAATAACTTTTTTTTTCTGAGCACTTCCTTGCTTTCTACAACAACAGATAATGTGTTTAGGAATCTTAGAGACCTCTGGCTTTCTTGATGATGCTCAAATGGAGCTCACTTTGTTTTACACAAGGAAAAGCAACCTAAAACTTTCTCCCCCATCTGAAAGCCCACCAGAAAACAGATGCAACTCTGAACAAGACAGATTCTATGTTTTATATTTTTAATTAATTGCCATTTATGAATAGCTCCAACTATTGCCATCTCTTGCATTCCTGAAATTAAATATAACAAAGGGAATGTCCCTAATAGTAAGTAGAAATAACTTGGGTACAAGCTATCTGCAATGTATAATATCTTTATTTAAATGTCAAGAAAATCCAGAACACATTTCAAAAAAGTTTAATATAAACACATAGAATTGTGCATTTTCCCCCATTAACATGTGGCTCTAAAGATAAATGTAAGAAAAATACCTCTCTCAACACAAAAGTAAAATTCTTCTCTTAGCATGCTCATTATGCCACTCTATCTCTTACCTTTCCATCCACAGAAATTAAGAGAGATGACAAAAAATAAATTATAAAATATCATTAGTTTATTGAAGCATGACATAAATATATTCACTGAGCTTGTATGGTGTTGCCGGCCTTGTATTCCAAGTATTATTCCATGTGCAATGGGGCACACAAAGATGAACAAAGACCCAGCCCTCAGCTTCTAGGCTTTTGGAAGATAGAAGTCCACACATAATTCCAATAAAAAGAAAAACAAGAATGAGCTGAATGGTATAACTGAAGCAGAAGAACAAACTGTGGACACCCAGAAGAAAGGGATGACTCATTGCAACTGGATACCAGGAAAGACTTTGGCAGAAGAGGGGCAACTTCAACTGCTATGACAGGAGTATGATCCCCCAGGCAGGGCAGGTGGCTGACAGGAGTATGATCCCCTGGGCAGGGCAGGCGGCTGACAGGAGTATGATCCCCCAGGCAGAGCAGGCGGCTGACAGAAAAGGATATTTCAAAGTTACGAAACAACATTAGCAAAAGCATCAAACATCAAAACACACAACTGTGGAAGATGGTCTGGAATGTATGGAAGGATGTAGAGAGAGATGAAGAAGATGGTTTAAGAGCTTGAACCAAAGCATCAAAGCAACTCCTTAGCATCCGATAAAGGCACTTTTTTATAAACACTAACTACAGAAAGTGAAGGGAAATTGTTTCACCTAATCACTGATATTTGAGTTAATTTGGCTTTGTTCCCTACAATCTGCTCACATCCAATGTGAAAAAGACTGCAGAAAAATGAAATAAAAGGAAAAGAAGGTATAAACCAAATGATATTTTCCCAAATAGAAAATTATCCAAACAGCATCTGTCCAAACAAACATAAAAATTCCCAACTTCTGAGTACTCAGATGCAATTTTTTTAATCACAAAAAAGAGTCTTTCTTTCTTAGGACTCTTGGCAGTTTTCAACACATGCCATTGGACAAAATGCTTTTATTTAAAGATGGGCTAGAAAACCATCTGATACCATATCAGACCCAGTATCAACTGACTGTTCAAATCAGAGGACTGTGTTGCTTTCAGCATTATTGCACCAAACCACAGGAAAAAAGCACAAAGGTTCTACGGCAAATAAAAAAGTTCACAGCATCTGGGGATATCGCATCTTCCACATCTGCCATTATTTTAAACTCAGCACCTGTGGTAGAGGTGGCTGGTATGATGCTGCCAATTTTCTCGTTTTCCTTATTGACAGAACTCCGATTTGGTTGGGGGCAAAAAAGTGCCCAGTTAAAATATTTTCTTTCCCAAGCAAATATTTGGGCACATGTCACAGTTCTCATCCCTGAGGTGTTAGTATCCTTCTGGGTAGGACTCGAGGGGAAGCTTTTGTTTACCTAATAAAAACCCAATGATGATGAAGACCCTCATCTTTGCCCTTTACAGCGTCTTAGGATGGAAGTTTCCCCTGTAGTAACATGGATCTACCCGGCATTTAACTGATTGAAACCTTCTTGAGCACAGGGACCTCTTCTTTATACCCACCTTAAAACTCAGTTTGGCTCCTCACTCAAAAACAAAAGATCAGTCAACATTTGCTGAAAGTAAAGACTATGGGAAATTAACACGAGGAGAAGCACTGTGACAAATCCAAATCACAGTCAGTGCACTTTTACCCTACAGTAATCTCCATCAATCAATTCAAGAGTGCCCAAATCTTTCAAGTATCACCATCCTTTTTACATCCAAAATGTTGCCGACCCACACATAGTACTTTGATGCTCAAGGACTGAAAATGCACTTAAAGTCCAAAAGCCACTGTGAATCAATAATGATTTCAAATAAGTATTTCTTTTAATAAAGCACACAAGATTTGAAAAGTAATTGAAATATTTGCAAGGTACTGTATTTTTTTTTTTTTCAGTGTATAGGAAATGTAGAATGCACAGAAAGTTAACAGTGGCCTGGAAGTAATTCCATGGCCCTCTTGAGTTCCAAGATCCGTTGGTCAAGAATTACTAATCAATACTAAAAGCACTGTATCTGAGTCTATTCCACTGTCAGTATACCACCCAGAACTCCCCAAGATGTGAGTTTTAACATAGCCATGACTTTGCCTTTCATTTTGGCCAAACTTGGTTTCCAATTTCTAAAGCAGGCTTCTGCTCATATTTATAATGTGAAAATTTTCTTAAATGTTAACACTTATGAAATCGTTATGCTACATAAAAATTCCCCTGAGTGTGAGATACACGAAGAAATGCAAGAGATGAAAAATAATTTGCTCTATCACACATTTTCATATTTACCATTAGGCATTAAAAGCTTCAAATCAAAATTAAATTTCCTATGTAAAATTAAAAAGACAAATAGCATCAGTTCCTTAAATTAGCAGAAGCAGGCATCTGCTAAAGTTCTGAGGTAGACATTCAGTGCATTTTACAAGAAATCAACAATATGTCCATTTCTTCCAGTCCTTGGATCGAAATAAGTCCATTCGTTCTCTTCATCTATAACCCAATAAATAAGTTTTGATGGCCATCTAATGCAAAGATAATGCCCTCTTAACCATAAGCTAAAAAAAAAAAAAAAAAAAGAAAAGCTTAAAAAAAAGAAAGAAAAAAAAACACACAAAGAATGCAATGGCTTTGAAGCAACAGCCAAATTTGTTTTTGTCCAATTCATTTGTGTCTTCCAGCCCACCAAGAGCTTACAGCCACTGAAAAAGGAAGATGGAAGAAAGGAGAGGTGGTGATGGCCCCTTGGGAAAGCCATAAAAAAGTGTCTAAAAGGCTCAGCAGTTAGCAAGAGAGTTCAAAGAAATCAGGAATGGAAAGAACTTCACTCCCATTAATTATAGGGAAAGGAGGAAGAGAGAAGCAAGAAAGGAAGAAAGTTGTTTTTGTTTTTGTGTTTTTAATTTGGGGGCAGAAAACACAGATGTGGTCACAAATAACAGAGCAATTCCACCTTACTTGCAAAGTTGGGATCCCTGTAAATGCAAATTAATTTTGATTTCCAAAAGACTCCCTCTAAGTTTCATCAACTGCTTGCCTACTCCTAGGACGTGCCAGCACACATCCTTTCCAGTGCAGAGCAAATACATATCTCATGGGCCAGCTCCTGTTCAGCAAGGGCATTGAATTACATTATGAAGAAAAATGCCAATTGTCTGGGTCAAGGAGTAAAGAGATCAGCATTGAGCTTGAGCTATTTACCATTAACAGAGTAGAGAGGAGACATAAATTAGTAGGTTTTTTAAACTCTGTATTCTTCTTTCCCTAGCCTGCCTTACTTCCAGAAAACCCCTGAGCTGTATCACTCAGTCTGTCAACTTCCTAAAACAGATATTGGCTGTACTCTATACCTGAATATTTTAATATAATTTCTCCAAGAAGATTCCCACAAGGGGAATACTAATTTGAATTTCTTTGGTTGCACAACACTTCCCCAAATTTGCACTTTTGCAAAGCCATTCATTTCCTACAAAGCATCAAGTTCCTAGAGAAAAGACAAGGAGGTGGGTGGGGAAGGGGGTAGGGGGTGCCAAGCTAACTAATGCCAGATGAACTTTCCTGGATCCAGAGGGCTTTGTTTTGAAGATTTCTGCCTTGTGTTAAATCAAAGTAGCAAAGCAGGTCTTGAAAACTGGGGAACTATATTCTCTACCCAGAAGGTCAGGACTGCCAAAGTTGGAGGTATTTAACTTTCTGGGCTAAAGAATCCACATTGTCCTAGAGTGAACTTACAGAGCCATTCACATTTTTAACCAACAACTACAAATGTTTCTTAAGAAATGAAGCTCAGACAGACTAAGGCCATGTCTTCTTTGACTATTTTGGCCAAAGCAGCTATTTGCATCCCTGACACTATTTCCACTCTAGGCTCAGAGATAAGAGGGATTTGTTTCATAATGTGTACCAAAATTACTTTATTTGTTTTGGATGCAGTAAAAGCATCATTACTTAAAATGACACTCTGCTTTTTCAGTGCAGCAATTTGGCAGGAAGGTGAGAGTGACATCCAAGTTATAAAAATCTTAAGATTTATAGGAGATGCCAATAGCAGGACTACACCCTTATAAACAACAAGGACCAAAAAACCTTTCTCCAAAGATGGGCCAGAACCTGGAAGCTGTGGGCCAGTACTACGGTAAAATGAGGATTATCTTCATTCAAAGTCACTTAATAAAGTAAGGGTATGTGCTTAAAAGAAATTCCAAGCAAAAAAAAAAAAAAAAAAATTGCACCCTTTCTCCATCTCCCAGTTAAGCATGCACAGTTTTTACACGGAAGGGTACCCATATACAAGGACACTGTGCGTCCATAGGTTTCTGGTATTTTACAGAGCTTTCAAGCATGGCTCCTTCACTTTTCCCCAGACATATGCTCTGCCCCACATATCACCTTTTGTGAAACAGAATTTGAAGACTGAACATCAATTGGTTCAAGGGAAATGTTACCTGTATATCATTCAGTTCTATGGTTGCAAGCAACAGACACCAACTCTGGCTGACTTAAGCAGAAAGAAAAAATATTGGAGTAACACTGAATTGAAAGGAGAGGGAGAGGATACAGCTCAGAAAGGAGAGGGATAGAGCCACTACCAGGGTCTGGGCAGCAGGACGACAGACCTTCTTCGGAAATGGTTGCCAGCATTGTCAGCTATGACTACTTTGTCTTTTTGTCACCCTGCTGAGGATTCCAACTCCCGGGAGAAAGTGTCTAATCAATCTAGTTTGGGTCACACATAGTCCCCGTGGCTAAAGAATGGCACATTCATTACGAACAACAACAACAAAAAAACCTCCAAAATTGAATGGAGTCTCCCTACTGAAGAGGGATAGAATAGTTCCCCAAAGCAAAATCAGGGTATTGTTACCAGAAGATGGGAAATGAAGCTGAACAAAAAAACAAAAACAAAAACAAAACACAGATGTCCACTTCTGCTTCTACATAAACAGTCTTAGCATTCCTATTGAACTGTTTATTTTTTCAACTTCTAGGGACAACTTTGGCAAAAACTACAACTAATGCTATTACCCAAGTCTGCGTTACAATGTCCCATATAAAGAACCACATGATAAATTCCAGGGCCTTCAAGTTAGAAAAACGTCAGGGCTCCAGATGAGCCAATATACATTCTTCTATTAGGCCATGAAGGTTAAGTAACTAATCATGTTTCTCTTTTTCCTCGGGCTGCTAGGAAGCTCAGACCTAAAAGTTTTAGGCCGAGTTATGACCTTGGTTATAATTCTAGTCTAGGTTTTCAGGCACAACTAAATTCCTCCTTTCATTATATGACTGGTGTTCAAGGGGTTTTATGTTTAAATGGTATGTTTTAATGTTTAAATGATATGTTTCTCTTTTATTGACAAGTACTTCAAAAGCATGTGAATTGTTTTCCCTTACTAACCAAAAGCCAACCTTTTCAGAACTATATAGGGGTCTAATGTATATTTGTATTTTCTGAGTTTGTAGTTTGGCCAGGACTTTTATATTCTGTGGGCAGCACCATCCCTTTCATTTTCTGCTACTGCAGAAATAATAAGCTTCTGCAGCAGAAACTATTTCAGATGAATTTCTGGGTTTAAAAGGTGCTACAGGAAAAACAGATTCGAGGAGAGAGAGTATGCACACTAAATCTCAATGTGATTAGAGTGTGCAATATTTTTTCAAATAGTTATCAATAGAGTTCACTTTTTACGGGAAGGGGGTCAAATGGAGAGCAATAGACAACTGTCTCAAGTCTATAATAGCCTCATCCAACTCAGATGGATGATGGATATCTCAGGGACTGGAATGCACACAGCATCCGTGCTTTCATGAATCAAGTAGATGGGTTGAGGGTGGGAGATCTAATTCATTGTTCTATAGCTCAAGCCACTGTGTGAGTCGATTCCAAGTATGTTTATGCTAAAAATCATCAGAATCCTGTAACTGCAGGAAATGGGTAGCGTTAAGCAGATGGGTTCCACACTCAGCAAAGTAAATGAAAGCAGCAGTAAGTTTGCTCCCAAGATGACCAGTAAAATGTCTGCAAAGTGCTTTTGAGTGTTTTTTGGTGGGAACGGAGATTCTCTAAATAGAGAGGTATTACCACCATTATGGATGTTTTTCAGTTTGGGTTTTCTGAAATGGCATTTGAATGGGTCTTCCATTGGCTGATAATCTGTGAGGAATATGTTGAAATCCATTAAATTAAAAAATTATTCTCCACCCTCTACATGTCCTCCATTTTTGGAAGTAATCTCTTCCAATGTTTGGCAGTAAAATTCCCCAAAATAATCCAATATCATAACAATGAGAAGTTTTAGTTGCCTGGCGTGGGATATGTAGGAAACAGGGATCTGCATTTAGTTAAAAGTAGAAGAAGCCTCCCACTTGTGCCTGGAACCCCTCCCAGATGCTCTGGATTAGAAAATAGGATAAGCCCCAACACTTCTAGTTTCTATGCCTTGGTTTACCCAGGAGACAAGCAATGACCATGGCTCCCCACTCCAATCATGAAAACTCCATCGCACAGCTCTCAAAATAGAGGGGACAGAAGTTGGCCTCCATGCACCTGCAGGTGGGCTGCGAGAGCTGTACTTGGAGAGCAATGAATGGTGCTAAACAAGTAAAATCAGTTACCACCTTGGCCTTTAAGAGTCAGAAGACCAAGGACCTGGTTCTGTTTCCAACACAAGGTGAACTTGAGAGGCAGCTTTTACATTGGCCAAATGAAGGAGCTGAACTACATTGGTGTCCCCAATTCAAGTATCCACAGGGCTCAGCAAGCTGGGTGACTCAGTGAGATGCACCAAGGAAAGCTCAGAACCAGCTGGAGGCCACATTCCATCCAGATGGAACAGCAGCTGCTCAGTGGTCGCTATTTGAAAATTCAAGCCCTCCGTGATCTGACGTTTTTCAAAAGAATTAAGAAGTCCAGATTTTCTTATAAATTCCTCTAATTTTCGAACCCTGGAAATGAATTTGTAAAGATTTTATATATTGAAGGAGCCGAAGGAAATATTTCTGCAAGCTAAAGCCAAACCTCAGGCCCACAGTTTGTCAACCTAAAGGAGTTCAAGTATTGAAGCACCCTGGACAATGGAATGCTTCTTTACAAAGGAGCTAAAGCTGTCTTCTTCCTTCACTTGGAAACTCCCAGGGCACTGGCATCTTAAATGCTACAAGAAGTCTTGCACTAAGTAATCAGCCTGACTTTGTTTCATCTAAGGCTTCCCCAAATTATTTAAAGACTGAAACTTCTGTGGCAAGACTTATGAGCAACACACTGAATTCATGGGACACACTTTGGGAAACAGCAAACCTCTATTATTCACATGGCTGTAAAGTTCTATGCTTTTATTCCTAGGGTACCCTTGGATCTGAAATAGGGGAAGATATTAGTATTTATCTGACTCCCAAAGATGTGCCGGATACTAAGCTACGCTCTTTGTAGTCCATATCTCAATTAACATTCACGGCAACCAGGAGCTAAGTGTTATAATATTATCCTTATTTTTAAGTTGAGAAAATACAAACACAAAATACATATCAGAGGCTCTGAAATAACTCCTAATAAGTGAAGCAGCCAAGATTTGTAACTATGGGTGCCTAATTTAAAAACCCATGGTCTTTCCACTGTTTAACAGTCTGAATGGGTTACAAGTGGTCTGACTTGTAATCTAAAGAAATATTCTCATTATCCCCATTTCCCCCAAACTGCTCACCCCTGTGGCTTTAGATCTGCTTTTATGATCCCTCAAAGTGTCCAAGCTCTTCCTCTAAAGGGCATTGTTTTTCCAACTGAGTCAGATAATCCACCAAAGCATTCAACACCTGAGCAGGGTGAGCATGTGATGTCTTGGCTCCAAGTAATAATGTATTAGTATCCAACCACTGCATTCCATATCTTATAGATAATTATGGTGGAGCATTCATGTGCCAGGGACAGTGCTAACTGCTCGTGTGACTTCCTCTAGCCTACCATTTCTCTCTCTTTCTTTGTGTGCACATCCTTTGCCCCTCCGACTCTCCTGTCCCCTCTTCCTGGCTTTCCTGTCCACGTGATGTCCCTCACTTCAATGTATTTCATTTCTTTCCTTCACCCTCAAAATAGAGTTAGAAGCAGAAGTACAGTAGTTTACTTGCTGTCTCAGGATAACCACACGTACAGGTTGACAGGGGATTCTCGGTTTATGCCTGCTGTTCCAGTTTAATTTACAATGCATTCATCACCTCGACAGAGCCCCAGACTGGACAATATGCCACATCGTTTCCTTACCTATTTATTGAACAAAGTCTTATATTCCTTACCCTTGACCTTAAAGGAGGTTGAGTTGAATGTCTCAAATTTTCCTCCTTGAGGGGCAAAATGTTTTTAAACTACTAGGTTAAAGTCATTTTGTGAATGTTTCTCATTAGCTTTTTACTGAGGGTCAGTTGCCACTAGTGAAGTTATTCCATCCTGTCTAGTTTTCAGTTGCCATATTCCTGAGAAAAACAATTGCCTCACAAGGAATCCAGACCCTACGTCTGCTACACACATTACTTTAATCCACAAACTAGAATCAAGACCCACTAATGGTTTTGCATGATGGATTTGCTCTTTGCTTTCTGTCACGGGAGGAAAAATAACAAGAAGGCAGCCCAGCCAGTCATAGGGGCCACATCCCAGAAATTTACCCTTTCAACAGCAATATCTCCTGAGTCTACTGGCCATGGAGGCTGGAGCCAGGCACTGTGATACAGGGCTGGAAAAGGTCTCAGAGGACTGAGCCAGATGGGAGAGTCAGCTGGAACACCAACATGCTAGAAACAGGAGAAAAATGCATGAACTAGGAGCATGAACGAGAAACAGGGCCATCCAGAATGAGGAAGAATCAACAAGGCAACGTGAACTTTCCACCCTTTGGTCTGGATTTGTTCTCTTGCTCAACCACTAGTTTGACTAAGATCCCTAGGCAAACTGAGATGGATGAAAAATGTCATTTCAAGAACTAAATGAAGAAATGTTTTAAAAGAAGAGAACGCCAAGAAAAATTATAGAGTTCATTATTTATATTCTGGGTTAGAATTTTTATTTCCAGTAAAAAGGAAATGAAAAATTCTCAGGAGTGAGAACAGAAACAGTGTATTGTTTAGTTCTCCCAACATCTAGCACTATGCCTGGCAAATAATGAGGATTTCACATACACATTTTTAACAGCTCTGTATAGATATAGTTGACAGATAATAAGCTGCACAATTTGATTTGTTTTCAATGTATGTATAAACCCATGAATCCATCACATAATCAAGATGTTGATCCTGGCTAACACGGTGAAACCCCGTCTCTACTAAAAATACAAAAAATTAGCCGGGCCTACGTAGTGGCGGGCGCCTGTAGTCCCAGCTACTCGGGAGGCTGAGGCAGGAGAACGGCGTGAACCCAGGAGGCGGAGCTTGCAGTGAGCTGAGATGGCGCCACTGCACTCCAGCCTGGGCGACAAAGCGAGACTCCGTCTCAAAAAAAAAAAAAAAAAAAAAAGATGTTGAACAAATCCGTCAACCCCAAAACTTACCCCAATCCCCTTTCAGGCCCCTCCCTCCAAGTCCATCCTCAGGTAACTACTGATCTGAATAAATCATTTTACCTTCCCACCAGTAGCGTATGAAAGTTCCTGTTTTTCCACATTCTCATCAACAGTTAGCAAGGTCGTAGTTTTTTTTTTTTTTTCAGTAGTTCTAATAACTGTGTAGTGATACCTCATTATGATTTTAATTCACATTTACCTAATGACTAATGACATTGAACATCTTTTCAGGCCAGGTATAGACCTTCTTAGTTCAAATCTTTTCCTGGTTTTTAAAAATTGGATTCTCTTTCTTATTATTCAGTTTTGACAGTTTATTTATCCTAGATCTAAATCCTTTAATATATACATGAGATGCAAGTATTTTCTCCCAGCCTGAATCTTACCTTTTCATTCTTTTATCCATATCTTTTAAAGGGCAGAAGTTTTTAATTTTGATAAAGTCCAATTTTTTCTTTGTTGATTGCATTTTTGTCATTGTTCTAAGGAATCTCTGCCCAACCCAGAGAAACTCTGGGATGTAATGAATATGTTCATCATCTTGATTGCAGTAATGTTTACACAGATACACACAAAGGCACAAAGATTTTCTGCTGTTTTTGTCCAGAAGTTTTATAACTTTAGGTTTTATATTTAGATTTATGACCCATTTTGAGTTAATTTTTGTAAATGGCATGATGAATGGATTGAAGTATCTGGGTTTGTTGATGTTTTCACTGTCATTTTGTATATGAATATCCAATTGTTCCAGCATCATTTGTTGAAAACACTATTATCCTTTCTTCAGTCGCTATGGTCTAGACTCATATGTTAGAATCCTAATGCCCAAGGTAATGGTATGAGGAGATGAAACCTTTGGGGAGGTCATAGGAGTGTAGCCTTCATGAATGGGATTAGTGCCCTTACAAAATAGGCCTAAGAGAGCTCATCCAGCCCTTACCTTATGTGAGGACACAGCGTGAAGGCACCATTTCTATGAATCAGAAACAGGCCTTCCCCAGACACTGAATCTGCTGGCATCTTTATCTTGGACTTACAGCTTTAAGAACCATGAGAAACTAATGTCTGTAGTTTCTAAGCTACTCAGTCTAAGGAATTTGTTACAGCAGCCCCCAAGCAGACTAAGACACTAGTGAACTATCTTCTCTGCACCTTTGTCAAAATAATATATATTTCTGATCAAAAAGCATAACTCTCAATAAAAGCCCTCATTGACAGCTGCTGAAATTTAAAACATGTATACTCTGACTCAGCCATATCAATTTTGGCAGTTCAGCCTAAAGAAATACAGGCACCAGTAGGTCAGGATAGACACAAAAATTTATAGCAGTATTATTTATAGGGAAAAAAAACAGAACATGAACACAACCTAAATACTCCCTCAAGAGGGAATGGGGGAATGAGTAAATAAATTATAGTCCAGCTTCACCACAAAATTCTACACAGGTGCTAAAAGGAATGAGTTGGGTCTACATATATTGACCAGAAAAGATACCCACAAAACACAGTAAAGTAGAATTTTTTAAAAAGTTGCATATATATATATATATGTATATATGTATATATATGTGCATGTGTGTGTGTGTATATATATACATATATATAATTGAAATTCATGAGAAAAATTAAACATGTGTTTACACATATGTATACACTTGCAAAAGCCTGGGGAAAGTATGTGGAAAAATAACCACTAGATAGAAGGAAACCATGGGTTTCCTTCATGGGTAGAATTGGGAATTGGAAAAGGCACAAAATTACTAACTTCTTTACATACTTCTAAACTGACTGATTTGCTACCCTAAGCAGACATTATTTTGTAATTTTTTACAATCAAGAAAGTAGTAGACATGACATGGAGCAGATGTAGAGAAAATTCTGATTGCCATTTTTTTTTTTTTTTTTTTTTTGGTGGCTGGTCAAGTAGGGATAAATATCTTGGTGACTGGTAGATACCCAAAAGAAAATTCCACACTATTATAGATTAAATTGTGTCCCTCTAAAATGTACATGTTGAAATCCTAACCCGTAGTACCTCGACATGTGACTTTATTTGGTCAGTAAGGTGGGCTCAACCACTAACCCAATATGACTGGTTTTCTTATAAACAGGGGAAATCTTGACATAGAGACACACACACAGGAAGAATATCACATGAATACTGGAGTGATGATGCCACAAGCTAAGGAATGCCAAAGGTTGCCAGTAAACTACCAGCAGCTAGGAGAAAGCCAGGAGCTGTGTCTCCCTCACAGCCCTCAGGACAAATTAACCCTGCCAGCATCTGATTTCAGACTTCCAGTCTCCAGAACTGCGGGACAACCCACAGTACCAGTACCACCCGGTTTGTGGTACTTTGCTATTGCAGCCCTAGGAACAAATACATTAAGCTACCAAGATTTTATGTCCAAAAGCAAAATAGCTACCACCAGGACCAGGCCCCATAGCCTCCAGCTCACTTACTAGGAAACAACCTCAGAAGACTTGGAAAGGAAACAGCAGTTGCCACTGCCCACATTACAGGTGGCTTGTACAGCAGGATTCCGCTCTCACCTGAGGAAAAGTAGGCCCATTCCTGACGTGAAACCATCAAAGCATGCAGTGGGTGAATCTGTGAATTTATTCTCAGACCCACAACTATAAAGCAACTCTGAGGAAAGGTTTGTCATGAAAGGATTAGGATGGATCTAACAATTATGCAGCTCCTTTCCCCTGGTAACTGTCCATTCCCCTCCTGCTCCCATGGACACAGGGGATATTCCTTCTAGAGAAGAGAATGAAAAGCAAAACAGCATTTTAAGACCAGAATGACTCTTCACTCTCAGAAAGAGACACTGACAGAGCAGTTCTGCAGTTGGACAGGCTCCCTGCCTTCGTCTCAGAGGGACTGGAAACATTTGTGCCTTCCTGGCTGTATCAAAAAAAGACAAGCTTGCCCAAGAAAATAAGTATTATGACATGGCTGACTTTTTTTTTTTTTGTCTTCAAAGTGAGTTCCAGAATAAGAACAGGCTCTTCACTAAAATAATTTATACAGTTATCAAGTAAAAAACAAAACAAAACACCAAACCAGGTACAAATAATCAACCTGACATACCATGAGGCTCACCTGGAGGTCAATTTAAATATACTTCTTTGTCAGCTTACAGGTTTTCCTAGTCAGGAAGAGGCAAATCACAGAGGCTGCTACCCAGAGAGCCTACAGGGACTCTGACAACCTAGTTTGTTTTGAGGATAAAATCCTTAATACTAGTCTTCCCTTGGTCTCAGCCTGTCTGGAAAAGTTTCACTGAGGTCCACCTCAAAGTAACTGTGTTTCACATTCCAGCCCATAAGTTTCATCTCCAAAGCGAACCATCTTCAGGCCTGAAGCTCATGTACCATATTTTCCAGAGGACCTTCCCTGAGCAACACAGCACATGTTACACTCAAGGTTTGCTGCCTTTTCCTAGGATGTTGTCCACCAGAAGGAAATAAAGGAGAAAGAAGCAATAGCTTAGTTGTTTGCTGTTTTCATTTTTTTTTTAATCCACAGTAGATAAACTCACACTCGGTATTAAAAAAAGGATTCCTTATAGACACATGCATTGTGTCGCAGTATGTGAAAGTTGGGGATACCTACATCACAGAAGTAGAGTGACCAAACATAGTCAAGAGGCTATATGGTTTCACTGGTGTAGTAGCTACCTAGGGCTGTTGTAACAAATAACCATAAACTGGGTAGCTTAAAACAACAGAAATTTAATCTCTCACCATTTCGGAGGCTGGAAGTCCAAAATGTAAAGGTTGGCAGGGCCACACACCATCCAAAAGCTCTGGAGAAGAACATGTCCTCGACTCTTCTAACATCAGGTGGTTGCCAGCAATCCTTGGCATTCCTTGGCTTATGATGCCATAACTCCGGTTTCTGCCTTGATCTTCACAATGGCCTTCTCTGTGCCGCTTCTGTGTCTGCAAATCTCTCCTTATAAGGACATTAGTCATTGGCTCTAGGGTTCACCCTAATTCAATATGACCTCATCTTAACTTGCTTACATCTGCACAAACCTTATTTCCAAATAAAGCTACATTCACAGGTACCAGGGGTTAAGACTTCAACACATCTTTTAGGGGAACACAATTCAACCTTCAACAATGAATAACATATGGAGGCTTGGGTTTGAATCTGAATTTTGGTCCCTTAGTAGCTGTGTTGGTTAGGAATGTCAAAGATACATGTAACAGAAGTCCCAATTCACATATGGGCATAAACAAATGAAAGGGGGTCACATTTTTCTCATATAACTTTTGTTAGGAGGTAGGTTCAGGTGCTGCTTACTGATCCAAGTCCTTCCATCTTATCATGCTAGCCTTCTTAGTGGACTGGTTTTAAGGCTTGTCATGTATTGCTGCAGAATCACAATATGGCTGCTGCAATGCTAGACATCACATCTATGCTCAGGACAGCAAGAAGACAGAAAAGGAGGAAAAGGCTATTTCCCCAAGAAGCTTTATTTGTTATTCATGAAGGTAAAGTATCTTTAGTAGATATCCTCTCATATCCCAATGGTTAAAAACTGGTCTCTGACAATCCTTGGACCAGTATGAGATTATTATCATGGCTGGGCTAGAACACCCACCCTCAGGCCAAGGTATGACCATCTGCTGCCTGAACAAGCTGGGGCTTCATCTGCAGAGAAAAAGGTGAGATGGAAGATGTGTAGTTAATGAACTCAAGCAAAAGTTATCTGTAGTCTCTGGAGAATTGTTACATCATCCAGAAAAATGAGACAACAAAATCTCTGTCCCTTAGAATTTTCTCAAGGATTAAATATGCTTTTCATATAAAACAAAATGTCTGCTCCATGACACAAGAGGCACAGTGCTTAGGAGTGCAGACCCTACAACCAGTCTGCTGGCTATGAACCCCAGCTCTACTGCCAAAGGCTGTTGGGAGGACAGGTCAGTGCTGGGAACACAGTAAATACTAAGAAAAAGGTGGCTGCTATTGTTATTATTACTGACACTACTACTAAATAAGCCTGCAATGAATGGTAGCTGACATTTCTTGATTTTCTCCATACTTGGAAATGAGTATGGCTGGAAAAGTAAAAATCACCAATAAAACCCAATTAAATGAGAGTCTGCTAGCAGCACTGCTGGAGTGGAAGGAAATGTTGCTTCTGGGACCCTGACCACAGCACCCCTTCTCTGTGCCCTGTTTGAGAATACTTGCCACGCTATATAACCTTCTAGCTGTGGATAGTTGGGAGCAAACATGCATTTGATGGCTTCTAGAACGGCTTCACTTATCTAAAATTTCTTTTGGAGGAGTGGACTCTCAACTCAGTAGTATACATGAAATTTCCCAATAGTCAACTTCAGCACGACTTCCCTTACTACATTTATAACATGAGAGAACTAACACTTCATCCTGACCTGGAGACCACCGCCTGGCAGAAACTAAAGGAGATATAAGAGGTATGTCAACTCAGACCATTTTCAGGATAGTCACACCCAGGCCTCTCTAAAACAGGGACCCAAGTGATCAAGGGCCACAAGGTATGTGGCCCCCAAGTCCCAGCCCAGCTCACCCATACCCTAACACCCACTATCATATATGAACCTCCATCATCTTCACCCCCAACTGTAAAGACAATTGCATTCTGTGCGTCGCACTTTCCTATACATTGAGAATAAAAGGAGCTTCCCCAAGTGAGGAGACAGAGACAAGTGGACAGTGAGCAGGTCATTAACATACTGGTTCTGGCTTATAAAGCTGAGCTAGCTAGGGATCTTCTTCATATGAACAGAAACACTGAAAGTTACAATCATACTAGGAAATATATATTAAGTCCAACTTTGAACAATAAGGAATAGGACCGTGAGTCCTCTAAGTTTACAACTATGCCCTTCTTCTCACCCTTCACCCACACCCAGCATAGTACTTGGGACGTAGTAGATGGACAAGAAAGATGGACAGAAGAGAAGACAGGAGCTTAGATCTAAACTCAACACTCCATTCCTACAGTGACCAACCATAACAACATTAAGAAGTGCTTCTGTTTATTGAGCACCTACTATACGCTACATACCAAAATCTCTGCAAAGCACATCTCTCTATTTTACAGATAGGGAAAGCAAAGCTCAGAGAAGTTACAAAACTGAAACATTGCTAGTAAGCGATTGTGTCAAAATTATTTATAAAGAGACAGATATGCTTTTTTTTCGTTATTTTTTTTTTACCCAAATGATTTCTTATTCAGGAAACAACCTGGCTAAGAAGGCCATTACTGGAGCCTCCCTTATCAAAGTAAGAACTCGGTTGAAACATAAGAGGGCAGAGGAATCCTGGGCCATCAGGCATGGGAAAGAAGACCTCAGCCAGATTATTGATCCACGTGGCATCAGCATTAAGTGGAAGAGCATGTCAAGATGCTGGAAGCATTGAAATATGCCAGTCACAAAACAAGTCTGTGTCTTTTCCCTGACACCTTCCTTTTGCAGTCTTTGGCCTCAAGGGTTGGACCTGGTGAATACACTGATGCTTTATCACTGATTAGCAGCTAAATAGGGATCACAACTTTTTTTTTAAGTGAACACAAAATGACAGTAGACTAATTCCACTAGACTTTAAGGAGGTCTTTGGACAAACGACTCAACTATTTCTTCTTGCTCTACTTATATAAAGCCTCTGTTTAAATTTGTGTCCACAGGGCTGAAAGAAGCACACTGCAGTCATTGAGTGTTCTGGACTAGTTTTATTTCCTGACCACTAACAAGTCCCTGAACTGCTGCTATTCACAGAATAAAATACCTTGTAGAAGGCAGCCTGATCTCCAGTACCCTTGAAGCTGTAAGGCTGATTCTCCCAGAGTCTCCTCCAAGGCTAATTTTCATGGTAGAATGGGGTCAGTGTGGAGGGGTATTGGTATGGGAGGGACCTAATCTGGAACATCAAACAAAATGCAAAAGTTGCCTAACACTCCAAGATAACTCAGTACAGTCAACACGAAACAGCCATTAGGCCATGGTTAAGCAAGGGGCACAGAGTTTGTTCCCAGGCTAGGATTTTGCAAATCGCTTGAAAGAGATTTGCTGACAAACTTGGAGAAAGACTCAATGATGTAAGATAGCATTTTATTCCTGAGGGAGACTAAGGCCCCGGATTAATGACAACTCCTAGTTTTCTTTATGAACAATAGGGCCCGATGTTTTGTGCTTACTCAACTACAATTGATGAAAACAACAACAAAATCTAGAATGGGTTTAGTGAGAAACCTGTGCCTCTGTAATAATAGCTGTTGCTTTTTTCTAAGCAACCGCTCTGAAAATCTCCAACCTCCTCCCTCCTTCTCCCCATTTTTTTTTTGTCTAAACTTGGAATGAATGTGTACACAATCCACCCTAATCACCGGCTTTCAAGGTCTCTAGTTTGGATAAATGCTATGTGCTTCAGCTGAAAAGCTCTTCAATGGCACTTGTGAATTTTAACTTCAATAGGAGACAGCAGCTTATGTGCCACCAAAGATTTGAGCCACCAAAAACAGAGTAGCCTTTGGTCAACCCACTGCTTCAGCAAGAAATAGGACAGCAGCCTCTCTGAGCCCACAAAACAGTCATTGCTCTAACTGTATTTATTAATAACAACAGCACCAACATGTACATTGCACTGTGCCTGTCTTATCCTTCTGCACTATGGTGAAGTGCTTAAGAAGTAAGGATTGGAACCAAACTGTCTGGTTCAAACTCCAGCTCAGTTCATTTCTAGCTGCTCAACGCTGGCCAAATCACTTCGACTCTCTGGCCTTCAGTTTCTCTCTAAAATGCGGATAAAAGTGGTTACAGGATGCAAATGAGCCAGATAGTTAAAATAAAGCTCCTCGGCACAGTGCCACACACAGTGCCTGCACCACAAAAGCAGGTTACTAGTATCTTCCCATTCTTAATCCTTGCTCCTTTTGTCAATTTGGTCAGCCTGGAAAAGTATCAGATTTGCCGGTTTTCACCCTGCCTGATGGGCCAGGGCTAATGGTCTCCAGTTGACGTTTTAGAGGGTTCTCCAGTCTCACTTCTCAGGGGAAAAGTGAAAGTGGCATCATCATAGAGAAGAAAAATCTAGAACGATCCACACTCCAAGTCAAGACAACATCTACCAGATAGGACAAGGCAGAGAAAGGGTGAGATAATCCTCAGAGGAGGACTTTGGCTCCTAAAATCCCCAAATAGTATTTAGCTGGAAACTTCAACCACTTCATCAACCAAAAGTTTCAGAAGAAACCAAAAGAAAGCTTTTTCAGGATCTGGGGTCCTCCCTACTCTTCACTGTGTTTCTCCCTCTTGTGGAAGTGCTAGTACACAGACATTGGCCACAACGAGGATGAAAAAGGAAGTAATGGATGGAACAGAAAAAATTGCCCAGGCTGCAAAACTCAAATCCAGCTTTGTGAATAAAAAGCTGTTTTTTCTGAATCTGCCATGGAGAAATGGTAATCTCAGTGAAGACAGCTAGATGATTATATTGGAACCTTTATAGAATGCCTCATGAGAAGATGGTTACATGTAAACTTCACAATTAGAATCTGCTAGAACTCATACGCCTATCACATTCCACTCTATCCTAGTAATAACTACACCAAAGACCTTTAAGGATGTGTTGACCTCCTTCGTTTCTAAGTCAGTCTTGATTCATCTTTCTCCTCCTATCAAGGCCTCCAGAAAATGCATCTGGTAGCTCAGTGAAGACATTTGCTCTGAGAAAATACTTGTTCCTATGGATGGGACACAGTCTTGCATGGATGGGTTTGTTACTTCTGAGGGATCCACCCAGTACAATCATCAAGTCAATCCAGAAACTCATACAAATTTTAAAATTTCAAGGCCAGAGGTAATCTCATCTCTATTTCATAAAAACCAGTAGGGTTTTTATTTGTTCAGAAAAGTCTCCTTTACTTTTCTGAAAGGAGTCTGTTTCAAATCTGCTTCTTTAAAAATGTATAACACTCCTCAATACCTCCAAGAAAAAAAAAAAGTCTGCTGTGCAGACGGGAAGGTGAAAAGAGAAGAATTCATATTTATTCACTGTAAAAAGTTGGGGTGGTAAATTAAATCTTCACATCCCTTTTGATCCTATTATATTTTTAATGGCAGAAGCTCCCAGCGAGGGCTCGAGTGGGATGCAATAGAAGTTTTAACATTCAAGGGAGCAGATGAACTTGCCTCGGTTTGTGTGACTGAATGAGAAATTACCCAGCGCAGCTCTGCTCAGGGCAATAGGTCCCTTTGCCTGTGCTGGATTTGGGTCAAACAGCTAAACCTCAAATCAGAAAATATCAGCATCATTTTGTGGGGACACAGAAGTGTGGGTAACAATAATGATAATCAAACCTGATCAAAGATGCCATTTCCTGAGCAACGGAGCCAGTTGCTACACTCAAAAGTCCATTATTTAGAGGGTGACTGTTCTACGCAAAGATCTATCACACTCCCCTGGGACACAGACTTCTCAAACCAGCTTCATCGAATATGAACTATATCATCAAGAAAGGGTCTGGTTATTTTCTTCCATCCCCTCTTTTGATTCTAGGTATTGATAAAATAAATTGACTCCTTAGTCCTATTAGGAAGTTCTGGGAATGTTTCCTTGACGAATTTTCTTCACTCTGGCTCATCTAAATTAGAATGTTTGTATTAAAGATAAATGAGAAAAAAATTAATGAGGTCGAATGAGAAGGTTTATAAAGATTTGTGAAAGGCACATGGAGCTCAGACATCATTAAAGAGCAGAACTCATTCTCAAGTTTCCTATCCAGCATGATATCCACTGCTATCTCTGTGGCCACAGAGCCTGGGAGTGGCAAAGTGGCTTCTCACTGAGGAATCGGACAGGCATGTTTCTATATCACGGTGAAAGGAAAAGAAAAGGAAAAAACCCCAGACAGCAAACAGAGATTGTGACAAAGATAACCACAAGGAATGTAAATAAAATATGATAAGCAGCTCACTCACCATCTCATCCTCAACAGCTCTCTCAGAGGCAAAAGTAAAAACATATAAATTATGTGTTTTCAAGGAGAGTCAAGCAATACTCTTTGGGAAGAAGCCACGGATATAAAAAAATTTTTCCGCATTTGTCTCACTTCTCTAATCTCAAGGCTTGAGATGTATGTACTTTCAAAAGAGACTCATCGAAATTTGGGCAGCATGAAGTTGAGCCCCCTGTTGGTAAGGACCTTCCAACAGTGACTCGGTCTTATTGGTGATAAGCCCTGTTTATATGAGCTTTCAAAAGCCTAAAAACAGGTTCTTTCAACATGACACCTTGAAATAAAATAAACGCATTGCAAACACCAACTGCAATAAACCAGGCTCACGCCAAAATGCACACGTGCACATTTCACAAAATAAGGGGGAGACATTTCTAGTGAGGAGCAATCTCTATGGGAAGGCAAGCGAGAGCGCCCACCTGCCAAGGGTCACATGCTCCAGAGCGCACAGGATTCCCTAAGTGAAACAGGCCGGTAGGAAGAACTTGAATAGTCAAAAATCTACAAACTCTTCAGAGGTACAGATCATCAGGCCATAAAAGCCACCTCAAGGAATTTTGGTCACATCTCTCTAAGGACTTCCAAAAGCTACCCTCTGCACTTGAACAGGAAACCTGCCAGCTCCCCTCAATCATTCTGCTCCTTTGGAATAGAAGTTACGCCTTTAACCGAAGGAGAACTTCAAATGCGCCACTGGTATCTGGTGCCACTGCCAAAATATATTTACATCACCTTCTATCAGTCATTCAGAGCCCAGTGCTGATATTCTCTTAGTAAGACAAGGAGGGGGTTAGGAGGTTGGTCATCCACCTCCTCATCTGCAAGGCTAAATGCAGGTTTTCTTGTTTATTCTACTTGAGACCCTGGGGAACTGGTCTGGTGTCTCAGGCTCTGATAAATTGAACACACTCCCCGCAAATCATGGCCCAGGGAGCTTTGGAAAGGAGCTGTGGGGCATCTGTTTCTGCTAAATGCAATGCCCTCTGCGGGTTGTTCCTCTGTATGAGGACTCCTAGACAAAGGTTAGCCTCTCCCTGCATCTGAGAAACTGTGCTTGGGGCTGTAAATGTTCATTGAGAAGCCTCCAACCTAGCCAGGGCCTGGCCTCATTGTCCTAAGTCTTCAGATGCACTCAGCCTCCAATGGTGCTGTATTTTACCAGTTAAACACGTCTTCAAAGTTTACTACGAAACAATGTGGCTCCTAGCTTGCCAAAAGTTTAACTGCAGGATTCAGTGGATTTTATCTGGCAGAGTAGCTGCCGTGACTCTTGACAATATTTGCCAGCAAAAGGCAGTCCTCAAACCTTGCAACCAGGGCAATCCCAAGGCCCAACGTGTCACTGAAGGAGTTCTTCTGGGAAAGGTCCCTCTTTCTCTTCAATCGCCTCCCGCAAATCCCCAGCTTCCAGAATCCAATTCAAGGCAGTCTGGCATTTCAGGAGACAGCAGTAAAAAACTTTTGATGGGATAACCCAGGACATAAATATTCCTGGCTGAACCTACTTTTGATTCTTAAATATCTGAAGGAGCTTGGGTTTAAGGAAGATAAAGGGAGAGAACCAATGAATAGGGAAAAATAAAATAAGTAGCATACCATGACCAAGCCAAACCAAGCTTGATATTTCCACATTATATTGGCAAATGGATGCTTTCACATATCACTTGTTCTGTCTTTCCTGGTGACCACAAAAAAAAAAAAAAAAAAAAAAAAATCTGGCTTCAAAAATCCTAACCCCAGACCACTGCATTGTGTCAGTGGAATGCAATCTAAATTGCCAGTCAGAAAGTCCAACCTTATATGTACCAACCAACACGCACACAAGCACCTCCAAGCCAAAAGTTGTAACGCCTGAACCCGTGCGTTTATCAATTTCATCATCCCCATACCCCTGCCGGGTTCCTGGCGCTGGGTAAACCGACAGCATCATGTTGCCATCGATGCGTCTTACAAGATGGTTTTGGGCAAATCCCCTAAAGTAGGCAGAAGCAAAAACTAGGTTCCTCTGCCCGGGCACCTCCTCCTCCAGGCTGGCCCCCGGCTCCCGGGTGCCCCTTACCTGCAGGCGCTCCGTGGCCGGCTGCCACATCTTCCAGCCCTGGGTTTTGGCAGAGGAGACGCTGGCGAGACTGTCGATCGCGCCGGGGGGCGAGGGGCTGGGGTCCCGCTTTACATCTGGGGTCGGTGTCCGCGGGATGTGCGTCCTGGCGCTGGCCACCGCCGCCGGGTGGGCGTAGGGGGCTGCGAGCAGGAGGAGGCGCGGCGCTCAGCTGCCGGCAACTTGTGGGCACGGCCGCGCGCCGGCTGTCCTGGCGCAGCTGCGAGAGGACTGCGCAGCTCCGCCCGGGCCCGGCGAGCGCGCGGCGGCGGCGGGGGCGGCCGCTCCCTCCTCCCCCGCCGCCGCCGCCCGGACCTGCGCGCTCTGAGCATGCCCGGGGCGGGCGCCCAGGGGCCGCGCGGGGCGGGAGTGCAGCGCGGCCGACTCTAAATCCTAGTGAGGGGTGAATGGGGAGGCTAGAACAGCCGGCCCTTCCCTGCAGGAAGCCCCCATTGGGTTGGGGTCTGGGAAAAGGGACAGACTGGCTGAGGGGGGAAGGGCCTGGAGCCGGGGGTGGTGGGGGCAGCGGGGATGTCGGGGGTGGCGGGGGTGGGGGAAATTCCTAAAATAAGGAAACCGTAGCCCCGGGGGTCCCGGGTTTCCATATAACAGGCATCTCTGAAGTGCCTGTGCTGTGCCTGGCGCTGTGCTAGGGAGACACTTCCATTCATTCTTCCCACTCCAGTTAACTGAGCATCTATTAGGCTCCAGCCCCTATGCTGGGTTCTGAGGATGCAGCGACGCAGAATAGAAGACAAGAGAATGTTCCTTCTCTCTGGAGCTTACCTTCTGCTTTGGAGAGAGAGTCGTGACTGAGCAAACACATCAACAAGCCGGTGCTATATCGGGTGGTGATAAAACAGGGCAGATGTGGGAAGAAGGGGAGAGGAGAGCTTCTTAGACAAGGGCCCTGGGGAATGCCTGGAGTAAGACCTGAGAGATGAGAGGGATTGGCCACGAAGAGGCCATGCTTCATGATGGGGAGAGGACTCGACTCCTAACCTATACAGGGGTGAGGAGGGCCATGCAGACTCCCGAATCACTAACTCATCCTGAGATCTGCCAGGTGCAGCAGGAGGCTCTCAGAACCCAAGGGAAAGCCGCTCTGGGCTCGCAGGCCTGGAGGCTCCCCGGCTAGTGCCGGCCACCATGAGATGACTTCCTGTCCTAAACAGGCCAGCCCTTCCCATTCTCTTGACAACTCGGCAAAATAACTATTAATATTTTCACCATGTGGATCAAACAAATGAGGCTTATAAGGTTTAGGTCACTTGTCCAGGTCACACAGCCAGTGAGTGGCTTAGAGAGTGCACAGTCAGATGACTTCAGGGCAGGAGATGTGGCCCTGCGCCTCTAACTGACCATGGAAACCCAGTGGAAAGAGCATCCGTCTAGGGCTGGGGGTTAAAGGCACTTGGCAAGTCAGGGATACTAAGCTGATTCTCGAGCTGATGAAGAGTGGGAGAGGAGAACATGGTGGGAAGAACTCAGGACATAGAATGACCAAAGAGAGGAGCAGAGAGAACACAATGTTTGTGGGGAGCCCTAGGCTCCTACAAGGCAGGGTCCTGAGAGCAGAGGGGTGTGAAAGAGAGGCATTTCATACTGAGACAGCTGCACAGCTTGGGCCGTGAGCTACTCATGCAATGTCAAAATCCACACTCCATGTCTGGAAGGAGGATCTGTCCATTTTCCTTGTTCTGCATGACTACAATGATTTCCAGATATGGAACCACTCCAGAATCTAACCCTCAGCTCATCGGACCCTCGCAGCAACTCTCCGTGGGACAGAAGCCCCTATCTCCCAAGGCTTGGGGAGCACAGGGTTCACAGAGTCACACTGTGGGGAGTTACAATGGCGATTCAGATCCAGGATTCCAGGCAGATCCTTCTGGACCCTGCGGTTGCTATGTTGGTGCCACCAGCCTTGGCAAGCCCAGGACCCTCAGTGCCTCTAGGAGCCTCTGGCAAAGCCACAGAGCTGCCTCTGAAGAGCTTGTCTCTGTCTCCCTGGATATCCACAGGACCCTCCCACTCCTGCCTGATAACCACCTGAACCTTCTCAGCTCCTTCTCCAGTTCCTGCTACTTGTTCTGAACTTATTAATAAATCTCTTTTCATGAGGTGTTTGCCTGTCAGCCCGCACAGACATGTGCCTCACATGCTTGGTGATATGGTCTCTGTTTGCTTTTCCGGTAACTCCTCCTGCACACCTCCACACCTACAAAATTCCTTATGACCTTCCCAGCCCCCAGTTCTCTTTTATCAAATCCCAAAGTAGAAAGAAATGCAATTCATTACAAAAATCTAGAAAATCCAGACATGCATATAAACCCCACCCCCCAACCCCCCCAGGAAGCTAAAACAGGAATATTCAGTTGCCAGGGATGTCTTCAGACTTAAGCTCTGAAACCATCCTTGCTTGCAGATGCTTCCGTGGAAAAGTGATTTTGTTTTAAATAGCAGTGGAATGAGTTAACGGCCTAAATTCAAATCGCATTAGAGCGTTAAATCCTGTCTTCTCACCTCCAAACGTAATTAATTGTTATGACTCAGTAATACAGCTTTTAGTACGGAGTATGGTGCTATTTAAAGAGAAAAAGCTTTGGCTCTGTAAAGATTGCTTTCAGTTACCGTTCCCACTTTGCAAACAGATTTGGTAAAGTAAAGAATGTATTTAAACTCAAATGGCACTCCTGTTTCAATTACCTTTATGCCACGAATCAGGAAGCTAGGGGAGGGGGTGGAGGAGGGGCAATTGCAGGCTTGTGGGAGGTGACAAAAGGATGGGACAACCTCCCACTCATAGATTTTGCTCCCAAGTCTTCCCATTCAGGAGGAGCCTGCAATGAAGGGTGAATGAAATAGAGACATCTGCTGGCTAGAGATGAGACCTGCATGCCAATGTCTCCCAGCTCTGTTCTGTGACATTGGAACCTCATCCTTCCTGGTGAATCTGAAAATGCTGCCTTACGATGTAAACAGGTTTGTTCTGAGCAAGAAACCACCCTTAAAATGAGCAGAAGGTGTTTTGGTGCAATGAGTAGAAATATTAGGCATGTAAATGTGTGCCTAATTTCATGTACTTAGTCTCCTGCAATTACCGAAACAGGTCTAATCTTGTCAATAAATACCATTTGAAGGCAAATGACAGAAATCAAAAAAGCTTGACAAGGCACAGATGCGTTATTCACACATTTGGTTCAGAAAAATAATTACAGCATCCCTAGAAATTGTGTTAAGCCAGATTTGATCTAGTTCATGGTTCTGAGCCCTAGCATAAGCAACCTCAATGTCCAAGTCAGAGTAATGGTGAATGAAAGTATGGTCCAGCATATCAAAGAAATATTAAAATATTATGCAGCATTTAAAAGGATAATTATAAAGTTGTGTTGCAGCTGAAAATGATACAATTATGGTTTTTAAAGTAGGATAAAATGTATATAATTTGAATATATGTATAAAATATTTATCAATCTCAGTAAATGTTGGAAAGGAGCTAGGACAAGCAGAAGACTCAGGTTGAATCCCAGCCTTCGAACTGTCTACCTAGGTATCAGCTTTTCACAAGTCATTTGCCTTGCTGAACCTCAGATTTCTCTTCTATAAAATGGGTGATAATATTACTTAATACTTAGGATTTTGGGGAGGAGTGAATGAATTAATATGTGCAGCATGCCTGACACATGGTAGGTGTGTGGGAAACATTCGTTTTCATCCCCATTATGTTTCTTTCTCTTTTTATTATTGGAATGATCCAATTCTCACAAAGCGGCCCATGCTTCTTGTGGTTACACTATTTCCATTTGGAATATTTGTGGGTTTCAATTATTTGCTTTAGATTCTCAAATAAAAATGACAAAGGATATTCAAGCTCACTTACGATTCTTTTTTCTTTTTTGAGATGGGATCTCACGCTATCGCCCAGGCTGGAGTGCAGTGGCGCGATCTCGGCTCACTGCAACCTCAACCTCCCAGACTCAAAGCAATCCTTCCACCTCAGCCTCCTGAATAGCTGGGACTACAGGTTTGTGCCACCACACCCAGCTAATTAAAAAAAAAATTTATGGAGATAGAGTATTGCTGTGTTTCCCAGGCTCCCTGGGCTAAAGTAATTCACTTGCCTTGGCCTCCCAGAACGCTAGGATTACAGGCATGAGCCACCATACCTGGCCCACTTACAATTCTAACTTAAGCAGATGACAGCAAAATTTATTATGGTTGTGTATTTAGCAGAATTATCATTAAAAAGCCCTTGTTATGGTATCACTAACCTTATTTCAAAATCACCAAAACAGCTGTATATAAATGAGCAATATAAAAAAGTCTGAAAATTCATTCGACCATTTAAACCTCCCAGTAGTGACAGAACCACTGGCTTTCGTCCCTACAGAGTGATAGGAATGTATTGGGATGTTAAGATGACGCTTAACAGGGTAGGACTGGCTCATTCGTGTGTTGTGACTCTCCTACTCTTGACTCCTCATATCCTCACAAACCTTAGACACCTGATAGATTATTTTCAGAAATGCCCACAAAAATCTCCCCTCCCCAAGGAAGTCATGCCCATTTGCACTGTAACTTGCCTGCTTCTCTCATCATGAGATGCAATCTGTCCACATTCCTTGAATCTGTGCTGGACTTGTGGCATACTTGACCAATAAAATGCAGCAGATGTGACACTGTGGAACTTCTGAGCTTGGGCCACAAAACACTTTGCAGCTTCTGCTCTCACCCTTTTGGAACATAAGTCATCCTATGAAGGAGCCTGGACTAGACTCCTCAAGATGAGAACAACACAGAGGGAGGTCAGACCATGAGTTAGCACCCACAGCCAGATATGTGAGTAAGGTCATCTCATAACACCCAGCTCAAGCCACTACACGACAGCAGCCACATGGGTGATCCCATGTGGGTCCCACCAGTGGAAGAACCACCCAGCTGAGACCTGCCAACTGCTGACCCACAGAATCATGAGTACATAACAAGGTTGGGTTTTATCCCTTAAGTTTTGGGTGGTTTGTTAGGTAATAATAGAAAACTGATAGAGAAAACATCACTAATAAGTGTCTGTCTTTCCCGCTAAACACACCCTTCTCAACATTTCCTAACAACCAATTGATCAGGGTTAGCAGTAAAATGAAGCCTAATAGTCTAACATAAAAACTTATTTCCTCTTTTGGTTTTATTTCTGCTCTCACAATTCCCTCATACACACCTCCATCCTAGTCTCAGATTGTGTGGGCCCTGTATCCAAGTCCCATCTGTTAAATTTTCTAGTAAGTCCCTCTGAAAAGAAGATGGGAATTGGGCTGGGCGCCAGCCATATAATGATTAAGATGAATTTATTTTCTGGCACAATTTGCAATAAACATGAACATATCTGCTCTTTTACAGCCCTTCTCACCCTCTCAGCGACACTGTCTCTAGACAGCTATCTGCCCATCATTTTGGATGGGTAAATACAGCTCCTCTTTCACTTAGAGCCTGGGGGAATTGAGAGTGAAATGGAGAGTGGTGTTTAGATTTGCCTTCACCACATTTAGCCCAGAAAGGGGCAACTCTGCACTATTAATGTTCTCTGTGGTTTCTAAGGGTCCTTGTCCTCATCTGTATTCGTGATGAAATGATTAGCTCTATGATCCCAAATACATTCTCATGGGGACTTGTGTGAAGCCACACCTTATGCTATCTTCCCACTTCATCCTTTCTCCATCTGAGCTGACTTCACACAAAAACCAATCTTCCTTTGCTTCTATTTTTTTCTCCCTTTTCTTCCCACTTTCATTATCAAAGCCAAGAATTACTTATCCTAAAACCTATAGGAAATGTTTGGGCATAACTTATAGAAATTAGGTTGTCTAGAAAAAAAGTCTCCACAATAAGAAAGATGATTCCTGATCTACCCTGGCCTTTGCTTAACTCAAAACCTCCATGTACAATTGTGCAGTGCACAACCTGCGCTGCTGAACATGGCAGCCCTGGCTAGACTACTTTTTCTCTGCATTTCATTCAGAGATCCACAGGACTACTCCATCATAAAATCATAAGGGAGTGGTGTAGATAAAGTTGGTGACCCTATGGATAAGAATTGGAGAGAGGTAAGGATAAATGAAATCTTCATCTTTAACAAGCTCTACCTGGATTGCAGGAAGAGTACTGCAAAAACTGTGGCTATATAGTCTGTCCTCTGTTTTTACTGGTCATATTGTAAGTGGCAGCAAGAAAGCAGGAAATCATCAATGACCTCTTAAAGTGCTGAAAACATTCAGGATTTATCTGTTGGTAGTGGTGTAGTGGATGTTGCAGCGTGCCATCCAGATACCCCCTTCAGGAGCACTGAGTTCATTGCCTCAGCAGCCAGGAACATCAGATGATGCTGGGAGTGTGAGCCAGTGACCCCGTCTGAGTCCCTCTCTTGGCATTGCCTTCGGCCAAAGAGAGCTGACTTGCTCAAGGTTTTGCTCCCTCCCTTGATGCAACCCACCTCCAAAGGCCGGCTAGTGTGGGGGTGTGAAGGCCTCAATGGGGGACAATCGTGGAGGGCCATCCCTACTCTAGAGCCTCCTATTGGATCAGCCAAATCTCAGTTGCAGCTGCCTCAAGAGTCCAGCTTCTCTTCTCATTCAAAATTCCTCATTTGCTTCCAGATTCTTAAGTAGGCATTTGGAAGCTGGACCACCCACTGGATAGTAGCAGGTAGAGTACTGCTCACTGCTGGGAGGTGGTAGGGTAGCAGGGCTATTGTTAAACCTTTCACCAGTGGTGAACTGAAATGGAATACAAATGGAAGGAAATGTGCTGATAGGTGCACTGCCCCCAAGCATTAGAGAGACTTAGGGGAAATAGTAATTATAAGGATTACAGAGTCAGATGGTTATTGCTGAGTGCTGTGGATGCATCAGAGAAAGACATGGAAATGCTGCTAGTGATTATGGCTCGTATGAAAGCCAGGGTGCTCCTTTGCAGCATATACAGAGACCCTCATCTCCTGCAGCTAAATGAGGGAGAAAGCTGAGGATCAGGTCCAGGAATTCATTATACAGACAGTGGAGCTCCAGAGAAGATTGAATTCACCAGTCCAGTAAGTGTTGTGGCAAGTTCAGAACCTTTAATGGGAAGGAGTGAAACCCTGAGGCTTAGGTTGTGAACACAGGTTTCTGCCCTTTGGAAATCTTGAGCTCCCAGGTTCTTCCATCTCTCTGCACCTTGAGAAATGGCCCACTTCTCTATTGAGAGTAGTGCCGCTTTCCTTGCTCGTGAAAGATGCATCTAACTCTGCTTTGCAAGATAACTATTTTAACATAATTGATTTTTATAAAACACTGCACATGACAAAAGCAGAATACACACTCTTTTAAAGTGCAAATGGACATTCACTAATATAGACCATACACTGCTTCATAACACAAGTCTTAGTAACTTTAAGAGAATTGGAATCATACAAAATATGGTCTCTGACCACAACAGAATTAACTTAGACATGGATAACAGAGAGATGCTTTGGAAAATCTGCAAATATTTAGAAATTAAACAATACACTATTAAATAATCTGTGGTTTAAAGAAAAAAATCACAAAGAAAATTTAAAAATATGTTTAGTTAAATAATAATAAACAACCAGCCTATCAGAAATGTTGTATGCAGCAAAAGCAGTATTCAAGAAGAATTTAGAACTTATATTTAGAAAAGAAAAGATGTCTACGATCAGTTATCTAAGCTTCTGCCTTAAGAATCTGGAAAAAAGAAAGAGCCATCTCATGGGGACTTTTCAGCATTGCTGCTTGGAACATAAAATGGCACAACCATTTCAGAAAACGGTTTGGTAGTTTCTTATAAAGTTGAGCATATGCTTATCATATGACCCAGCAATTCCACTTCTAGGTGTTTACCCAAGAAAAATGAGAACATATGTCCACACAAAGATGCAAGTATTTATAGCAGCTTTATTCATCATAGGCCAAATTGTAAACAACCTAAGCATTGATCAACAGGTAAATAGCCGAACATATTGTGGTACGTCCTTACGGTAGAATACTTCTCAGCAGTAAAAGGGAACATGCCACGAGCAAATGCAATGACATGGATGAACCTTAAAAACATTATGTTGATTACTTTAAAAAGCTCAACATCACTGACCATTAGAGAAATGGAAATCAAAACCACAATAAGATACCATCTCACGCCAGTCAGAATGGCTATTATTAAAAAGTCAAGAAAGAAGAGATGCTGGGAAGGCTGTGGAGAAATAGGAATGCTTTTACACTGTTGGTGGGAGTGTAAATTAGGTTAACCATCATGGAAGACAATGTGGTGAGTCCTGAAGGATCTAGAACCAGAAATACCGTTTGACCCAGCAATCCCATTACTGGGTATATAGCCACAGGAATATAAATCATTCTATTTTAAAGATATAGGCAGGCGTACGGTCATTGCAGCCCTATTCACAATTGCAAAGACACGGAATCAACCCAAATGCCTAGCAATGATAGACTGGATAAAGAAAATGTGGTACCTCTACACCATGGAATACTAAGCAGCCATAAAAAGGAATGAGATCATGTCCTTTGCGGGGACCAGGATGGAGCTCGAAGCCATCATCCTCAGCAAATTAAAGCAGGAACAGAAACCCAAACACCACATGTTCTTACTTGTAAGTGGGAGATGAACAGTGAGAACACATGGACACAGGGAGAGGAACAACACACACTGGGGCCTGTGGGGGGTGGTGCTGCAGGAGGCTGCAGGAGGGAGAGCACCAGGATAAATAGCTGATGCATGCGGGGCTTACTACCTAGGTGATGGGTTAATAGGTGGAGCAGAGCACCATGGCACACGTTTACCTATGTAACAAATCTGCACATCCTGCACATGTATTCTGGAACTTAAAATTATTTTTAAAAACATTATGCTGAGCAAAAGAAACTAGATACAAAAGACTCCATATTATATAATTCCATTAATATTAAATTCTAGAACAGGCAAAGCTTATATATAGACACATAGTGATGGAAAGAAGATTAGTAGTTTCTTAGGATTGGAGGTGGGGAATCCCAGGGGGCGGGTGGTAATTGAATACAAGTGGACATGAGGGAGCTTTCTGAAATAATGGAAATATTCCTGATTTTTATTGTGATGGTGATGAATCAAAACTCACCAAACTGTACACTTAATGCACATGCATTTAATTTCATGTAAATTATACCTCAAAAGAATTTATTTTAAAAATTATTTTTGATTTAAGTGATAGCCATGCCCAGTTACTTCTGATTTCACATGCTGAGAGGTCAGCAGTCAAGAAAAATACTGATCCTGCTGCAGGGGTCATTGACCTGCATTATGGAGAGGATGTAGGGCTGCTCCTATAAACACAGGCAGGGAGGCCTTCATTTTGACATTCATGTGATACACTAGGGTATCTCTTAGAACTCCCCTGCCCAGTTTTAACAGTAAATAAATAAATGCAGCAGTCATGGCCTGAGAAGGACATGGTGACCAGGAGTTGAGGTCCCTTCAGGTATGATGGCCCGGGTCATCTCATCAAGTGAACTGCTAAGACCAGCTGGGTTGCCAGCCGAGGTTGAATCAAACCTGGAATGGGTAACTAAGGAGGGAGATGATGCGCATCAGTGGGGCCTTGACTCCAGGTCACGGTGCATTGATGAGGCTGTGCTGACTCCCACTCATCTTTCCTTATAAGCTTCCTCAGGGAAAGAGACCTGTAAGAAACCTGGAGCCTCCAGAGTCAGACAGACCTGAGTTCAATTATCATTCCAAAAGCTCACCGGAAACTAAAACCACAGAAACAGTCCCACTTAATCTTTACATAAATACAATGTTCTAGAATTTTTAAATTTTGAATATTTTAATGGAGGGTCATATTCTGTCCTACTGACAATACATTAAACATTGGGCCCTCCATGTTCCCACTACGATCGCTGCAGTCAGCAGGCAGTCACCCTTGCTTCCTTGGGCTACCTACAGTGAGTCAATGTTCTCATCTTTCCTTCTCTGATATATAATTCTTCAATGGAATTAAAAATCCAGTTTTAGAACATTGTGTGGAATTAAGGGATACAGTGGAAATGTTTCCAAGTTTTAGTCTCTGGCGAGTTACTGAGCCTTTCACTATTTAGCTTCAGGGTTGAGATCCATCATTTTGCAATTCTGAGATTCCCCTCCACCCACTGAAAGGATCATTAATATTATAAGAGTGGATAAGGAAAGAGTCCTTGCTTTGTTAATCTACGGTATGTTTAACATGAATTTATAAACATCATAAACATTCCTCCTTAATCACTGTCCTGTGATGTCCTCATGAAATGTAAGAAAGCTTATGGTCTTCAAACATCAATAAGGACAGGCGTGTGTGCAGAGTCCGGGTCTGGATACCAGCCCCATCCCTGCCACTACAGCACCAGGTGACTTTGAGAAAGTCACTTCACCTCTCAGTCTCATTGTCTTCATCTGTAAAATAAATGATTTGGATTCGTTTACCTCTAAGCTCTGCTCGAGCTTTAAAATTTTATTATTCTATTCTTTGGCTAATGATCCCATTAAAAGTATATAATGTAGTACATCAATAACACTAATGGGATTCTTTAAGGCCCATGACTGCTTCACATTTCTTCACCATCATTCAAATCTATTTTCAGAATAGGAGTAGCTGTGTGATTTGCCCTTTGGGGATCTCCAACTCCAAATATGGTGCATAAGGTTAAGGAGCGAGATTAGAAGTTATTTTATATCCTAATATGTTGGTAGAAGGCAAAAAGGAAATCTCATCCCATAAAATAATGAATCCTTGGTTGCTAAGAACATCATTGTTATACTGCTAGTGGTGGTAGTATCAGTCCCGACAAGTTTCCCTAGAACTGGATAATTTCAAACACAAACTACTTCAGTGGGATTCCACCTAATGGGTTCCATTTGTGAGTCCAGTTCCATTTATCCTGTCGTATTTTCCATAGGATGTTATCATCCTTGACCCTCATTTCTGCCTAACATCCATCTAGCTGTCCTCTAGCCATGGTTTAAATGTATAGCGAGTGATTGCTAAGAACAGTAACTTTATTTTCTGAGCCAAAAATAAAAAAAAAACAGTAACCTTATTTTCTGAGTATTGGGATTACTCGGAATTCTGTACCTACCTAGTAGCAAGAAATTTTCCCGTGAAATAGTACTTGAATTCTCAGCACAGATTATAGTTTATGTGGACAATGGATAGAATATTTGAAATCGGAATGATTGTATTTCTAATGTCCCTACCAATGCCCAGAAACCGTGGTAGTGTGATTCTAACCATGTTCAAACCATAATAACAATCACTAATAGGTTGGCGCAAAAGTAATTACAGTTTAATGGAAAAACCACAATTCCTTTTGCACCAACCTAACAGCTATTACGTTTACTTTTAATGGCAAAACTACAATTGCTTTTACACCAACCCACCTTCTGGTAAACCCTTATCTTTGCAAGCCACTTGGCTCTGCGTCTTACTTCTACCACCGCTTGGATCCTCACAACAACCCTATGATGTAGGCGCTCTTATGAGTCCCATTTTGCAAATGACAAAACTGAGGCATAGAAGCATTAAATAATATACCTCAACTCACAATGCTAGCAAAAGACATAGCTGGAATTCATATGTAGGCATGTCTGGCTCCAGTAGTTCAAGTTCTTAGGCACTAGGCTAGACAGGACTGTCTCATCAACAAATTTCTAAGTCTAGAAGGACCTGAGAGACCATCTAATACAATCCAACTCTCTGAAAGATTAACTGATGTGTAAAAACTCAACTGGCTAGTTAGTGGTAGGCTAGGACCAGACCTCTAGAATCTCTGGCAGATATATTGCAACAAATAAGACCCAGGGTTTATCTAGTGGTCAAATTGTGCCAGCCACTGAGCTGTGCATATCTGAAATATATTATCTCATTAGTCCTATCAACAACTCCAGGCACTATATTACCTCTACCCTATGAAACAGGTAATTGAAGCACAGTAAGTTTATACAGAGTCACACAGAGCTAATAAGCCAGGATTCAAACATTGCTAGTCAGTCTCCAAAGCACAGGCTGTTGACTACCATCCACCAGGGCTCAGGTAAGGAAAATGGCCCAATGTGGTGGTTCCAAAGTCTCCTCTACTCCTAAGACCTGCACTCCACATCCCTGGGTTGAGTCTTGGCACTGGCCTTTCTTTTATCATCGTCTGAGCTCACTCCCTTTCTGTGGTTTGGCACTGACCACAGACTGTCTTTTGAGCCAGTTCCTGAGTGACTGTACGGAATCCCTTTTTCACTTAAGCAATTCCTAAAACTACGTTGACGTAAATCCAGCAAAGAGTACGAGAATAGTCATCCCCCAATTTCTCAATGTGTTTTAATCTTAAAAAATATTCCCCAAGAATTATGCAAACAATATGAATACTTTTATGACTCTTAGTACATGTTACCAAATTGTCTCCAAAAAAGATTGTGAAAATATACAGTCAGCAGCAAAATATGAGAATATCATGTCATCATTAGCATTGGATATTTTCATTCAACTCTATTAACAACTTTAAAAACAAAATGCTTTATTATTTTAGTGTGCATTTATTCAATTATAACTGAAATTGAACATTTTTCTGATATTAAAATAGTTGTATTTCTTTTATAAGTTATCTGTTCATATCCCTCTTTTTAATGCAACTGTCTGCTGCATATTTAATTTCAAAATTTATTACCATAGGTAATAAATATTAAATCTCTATGTTTAAGTGCTATTCCCTTTCCAACTTCTAATTTTGCTTCAGTTACTTATTGATTACAATGGTCAGAGAATTTTTGGTTTTATTGTTTATGTCCCTTATACCATCCTCTAATAATATTTTTTCACTGTAAGTCACAGTTTTATTCTTTTAAGATTCCCATATAAGACAAATAGTTTTAAATATGCTTGCTATTGAATGCCAAAAAGGCTTTAAGGCAATAATTTTTTTCTGATTATACTTTTTATACATCTCATACATTTTAGTTAAAATGTTCTTCATAATTCTATAAAACATACACTTATTTAGACAGCATTTTTGGGCCTGAGTTGTCAAAATATTTCAAGTTTATATTATTTATTTCTATTTTTATTGTATTACAATCAGACAATGTTATACTACTGTATATTATAATAAATTATTATTATTACGGTTTTGTATATGTGAATATTTGGCCTATTATGAAAATGCTTCATATGTGCTTCAGGAGAAATATACTCTTGCTTTTAGCAATACACACTGTAATATGTCTTTTAATCTTACTTTGTAATTATTTAATTTTTCTGTTTCCTTACCTTTTCTTCCAGAATGACTTTTAGAATCAAAATGTCCCATTTCTATCATGTTTATGTCATTTTTCTCCACATATGTTAAACATTTTTTGAGACATAAATGTCATTGCAATATTACTTGGATCATAGTTTCAGTACTACTGTTATTTACTAGTAATTCTAATTTTACAAATATAAAATAATTCTCTATGAAATTTAAGATATCTTGTTTGTTCCTATCTAATTATATTTACTTTGATTTCTTGCTCTTTATTGTTTATAGTTCACTGACATATTACTCTTACTGTTAATATTTTAATATCATTTTCCTTCTTTTGCATTTTCAAAAAATCTGAAACCTTATTTACCACAGACTTATTAGTAAATAAATAGTATTAAAAGTATTATTATACATATTATATATGTTATATTTGACTTCTGTATAATTTTTAGCTTGATATTTACTTTTTCATTCAATAATTTCTTATTGATATTTATTTTTACCTTCTTGATTTTTAAAAATATAATTTATACTGCTTTTTAATTCTGCTTCTAATTTCATGAAAGTTTTTTACATACATTTTCAACCCACATTTATCCTACTTTAAGAACTCATCATTTTTATGCCAATCATGGTGGACAAGAAATTTAGTGTGTAGGTTTATATTTTTCATCCTGATACTTATTAGATGTTAAATTATCATTTGAAAAAAAATAGGAAGAAAATTTCTCGGAAAATATAAGGCCGGGAGAGAAGTCTAGCCTTAGCAGATATTAAAACATATTATAAAGCCTCATAGCATTGACTCTTAAACATACAAAAATACCAACAGAACAAAACAACAAATACTGAAACAGACCCAAATGCATATAGAAATTTAGTGTACAATAAGGATAGCATCTCAAATTGGTGGGAAAATAATCAACTTTTTAAAAAGTGGTACTTGAATAACTGAGTAGCCAGATGGAAAAAAGATAAAAACTAGATTTATTCTTTTTTGGTACATTGAGATAAATGTAAAATACAAGAGAGATTTAAATAGGTAAAATATAAAATCTATATGAGTATGAAAGAAAATATAAATGAATTTCACTATAGGATAAATTTTCTATGATTCAAAATTTAGAAAATAAAAAAATTATAAATTTGACAAGACACAATATCTTTAGAAAATTTTTTATAGCAAAAAGTTTTGTAAGCAAATTATTTATTGATAAGTGACAAATAAAAGCTGAAAAACATATTTGAAAATTAACCACAGAAAAGTGCTAATATTCCTAATGTATAAAGAACTTATAAAATAGAGAAAAAGGGCAATAACTCAAAGAACACCAAACAGGATATATGAGCAAACTGTTCACAGAAAAAAAAATGTAAATGGCTCTTAAAATGTGAAAAGATGGTCAATCTTGCTCATAATGGAAAAAAATGAATTAAAACTACATAAAGATATCACTTGTCACTATTAGATTGGCAAAATAGAATATATTTTTATAACATATTGATGAGGTTGTAGAGAAACAAGTATTTTTGTGCTTTGCTGGTGGGAATGCAAATAGCACAATCCCTGTGTACAGGAATTTGGCAACATCTGCCAAAATTGTATATCCATATGGCCATTGACCCAAGAATCCTACCTCTGGGATGCAATCTCAAAGATATCCTGGCAAAATATGAAAAGATACATACACAGGTTATTTATGACAGTGCTTTTGTAATGCGAAAAGAAAGGAAGCAATTCAAATGCTTATTAATATGGAATTGATTAATAAACAATGGTACATCCACACAAGGAAATACTATACATCTGTAAAAGACTATCTCTATAAGCTATGGTGTTCTCCAGGATACATTGCTAAACAAGAAACAAAGAGTAAAGAACAATATACATAGTGTGGTGCCAAGAGACAGGGAATACACACATACACACACATACAAAATGGTAACTAATTGTGATGATGGATGTGTCCGTTAATTTATTTATGGTAATAATTTCACAATGTATACATATAACAAGTCTTCTCATTGTATACCTTGAATATGTAGTTATATTTGTCAATTATACTTTAATAAAGCTGGAAAGAATAATAACAAAAAATGACAATTGGTAAATAAAGAGAAAGAATCAAGCATTTCTCTTGACTTACCTACACAAACTATACTTAAGATAAACAAATTGTTGATGTGGCTAAGGGTTTTTGTTGTTTTTCAAGCATTTCAGCTAATAAATAAGAAATAACATTTTTCAATCCTCAATGAAACGATGAATCTAGAAAAAAATTTAGTTTCTGCTAAAAGCATTATGTAAAATACTAATGAAGGATTTATAAGGTATAATTCAGTTTGTTAGCATCTGCATACACCAAATAAACTAAATACCATAAAAGGAAGAGACCAGAGACTCGTCTATAGAAGCAAACACCAACAATTAAGGATTTTTGTCTTAAAAAAACAGCAATCAGATAAAGCATCTAGATCAGCCCTGTACATTATTTTCTAAGCAATTGAAGTGTGGCTAATTTGAACTGAGATATGTTATAAGGGTAAAATACACATGGGATTTTGAATACTTAGTACAAAAAGTAAAATACTTTATTAATATTTTAATATAGTATATATTAAAATGATAATATTGTGGATATACTGAGTTAAAATACTGCATAATATTAAAATCAATCTGACTTACTGCTTGTGGGAATGTCAAATGGTACACTCACTGTGGAGAAGAGTTTAGCTGTTTTCTAAAATCTTCAACCTATACCTACCATATGACCCAGTCATTTCACTCCTAGGTACTTACCCAAAAGAAAAGAAAGATTGTGTCCATAAAAGACTTATGAACAAATGTCATAAGTAGCATTCATGGGGGTGGTGGATATATTCAATATCTTGATTCTGGTGATGGTTTCAAATTGTACACTTTAAATATGTTCAGTTTATTCTATGTCAATTATCTTTAATAAAGCTATTATGAAATTAATTCCATCTGATTCTTAGTACTCTCTTTAGATATCTACTGGAAAATTTGCAATTACATATGTGGCTTGAATTACAATTCTGTTGGACAGTGCTGGTCTAGACCTAACCACCATTTTGTAGAAGATATGGGGGACAAAAAAGCACTTTAAGCAAACCATTGGAATTCAATCAACAAAACTCAGAATGTGGACACTGTAGAACAAATGACCAGATTTCTTCAACAGTTATATGACAAGGGAATTATGAAAATTAGATTAAAAAGGGAATAATGAAAATTAGCAGTGTATGAGCTTTTTTGACTCTGATCTGAACAGTCAACCCAAATAGGAGATTTGACTACTGATTTTTTGAAGCCATTAGGGAGTTAACTATTAATTATTTTGGGTATACTGGTTCATACAGACTCTCTCATCTCAGCCCACCAGAGAGGACAGCTCTGCTCTCCATAATGTCCACAAATGACAGACTGAGTAGCTTTACTTTCAAAATCTTCCTCACAAATTCCTGATTATTTGTCCTCCAGAGATGTGTATAGATTATCCCAGTAAGTGCTGAGGAAAAGAGACAACATCACAACATCAACTATGACCATCCTCAGAGAATTAAGGATAAAGTAACACTTAGTAGCCATGGGAAAGTTATCAGTGACTGTGCCAATATGATGACTAGATTCAGTAATAACACCCAGTAACTTCCCACTTTATTTTTTCACTTCCTTTTTTTTTTTTCCTGGAGTCCTCAGGCATTAATCTTGTTCTCCTTCACTGTAACAACCATTTATTCTTCCTCCCATAACTTTTCCCTCAGTCATTTGTAAATAAAACTTGGGTACTCAGTTGTTTTTCACATCAGAACAAGCGAATAAGCCCATACACTATTTCCTAAGCCTTCATTTGTAGTGATATACAGAGGGCTCAGATCTTTTTTAATGAAAAAAAAGTGAGGTTACTAAAAACAAATACAAATCACTGAGTTCCCTTTCATTTGTGCCTGGGTCTATTCTTTTATTGATGCAAGTCCTTTAGTTTTTCAAGCATATTACTACCACAAATGTGGTCCATAAACAGACAAGTCCAGAAACTGAGAGTAAGAATTTTGATATACTTGTATAGCAGTTTGGCAGAGTAATTATATGTCTTTTAAATCTAATAAAAATGGGGCTTATATTTTATATTTTACGTTTAAATATTTACTTTTCTAGTAATTCATTTTTATTATATTAATTCATGATGGCTTAGAACTTAAAAAAAACTGTTCCAAAAAGAAGCAAATATTTTTAACCCTAGTGAATAATGTCTGTCAAAATCTGGTTGATAGACCTTCTGCTTCTGAAACAGGTGCTTGTCAAGCTATGATTGCTACGGTTCATTTAAATCAGAGAAAAGGGGGAGATGCAGGGACACCCCCTGAAACTATTGCTACGGAATAAAAGATGAAATGATCCTGATTATTGAAAATACAAAATTGCATGCAGGATCGTGTAAAGACAATGCCAGGTTGGACTGCCAGAATGAGCCAACAGTGTGTGATGTGCTTCCCCCTGCAGAGAGCCTATGAATGGACGTGCAGTCAAGGAGGTTTCGCATCACCAAGATTCCTATCCCAGAAAAGCAGATGTTCATAGCTCTGGGAATGGAATGCGACCCTTGTGGAGAGCCTATAAACAGACGCATGAGGGGCGCCTGTCCATATGGATAAGATAGGGCTATAAACGCCCTCATCTTGCCACGGCTCTTCTAGGCCTCTTTAGGGTTAAGGCATACTCCCTTCTGAGAATTTCTGGTCTAACCAGTTGTCTAGCTTCACATCCTGTTTCTATGGATTGTTTGTAACCAGCTTTTGCTGCAAGTGTTACTGCTGATTAATATCTTGCTAATCATAGGTTATGGAAAGACTGTGTTTCTGTTTTAAGGCTCTGTTAGAAATTATTGATGCACACACTATATTGTAAATTCTTATCTCTGTATACTGTACTTCTGCATACAGATGTTATGTTAAAGAATTACTTCATCCCCATGTGACCATCTCACCTCATAATCAAATGACCCTAAATCCCTCACTAACCTACCCCTGCCCTCACTAAACTTAATAATAAATTCTGGTATATCCAGTGCATTGGCAGCACCGCGGGACCAGAAGGTGGTGACCCCCCTGGACCCAGCTTTCACAAAAAAAAAAAAAAAAAAAAAAACACAGGTGCTTGTTACAAATGCAGATTCCTGGGCCCCACCTAGGACCAACTGAGAAAAGATTTGAGAATCTGTTTATTTTTTACTTCAACATTTACTTATTTCTTAATTGACAATTAAAAATGGTATATTTTGATTGTGGGGTGGCTAAATCAAGCAAATTAACATATGCATTATCTTATTTTTGTCATAGCACACTTAAAATCTACTATCTTAGCAATTTTTTTTTTTTTTTGAGACGGAGTCTTGTTCTGTCGCCCAGGCTGGAGTGAAGTGGTGTGATCTCAGCTCACTGCAACCTCCACCCCCGCTGGGGTTCAAGTCAAGTGATTCTCCTGCCTCAGCCTCCCAAGTAGCTAGGATTACAGGTACCCACCATCATGCCTGGAGAATTTTTATACTTTTAGTAGAGACGGGGTTTTGCCATGTTGGCCAGGCTAGTATCGAACTTCTGAACTCAGGTGATCCACCCGCCTCGGCTGCCCAAAGTGCTGAGATTACAGGCATGAGCCACCGCTCCCGGCAGCAATTTTCAAAAATACATTATATTGTTTAGATATAGTCACTATATTGTAAAATAGATCACTTGAACTTCTTCCTCCTTTCTAACTGAAAATTTTGTGTGCTTTGACCAATATGACCTCAACCTCCCTGACTTCAGGTCCTGGTAACCACCATTCTATTCTCTACTTCTATGAGTTTAACTTTGTTAGCTTCCACATATAAGCGAGATCCTGTGGTATTTGTCTATCTGTGCCTGGTTTATTTCACTTAACATAATGCCCTCCAAGGTTATCCATGTTGTCACAAATGGTAAGATTTCTTTCTTTCTATGGCTGAATAATACTCCACTGTGTATATACCACATTTTCTTTATTCATTCATTCATTGATGGACACTTAGGCTGTTGGCATATCTTAGCTATTATGAATAATGCAATGAACATGAGAGTACAGACATTGCTTAGATATACCGATTTCATTTGCTTTATATAAGGGGTCTTCAAAAAGTTCATGGAAAATGTGTGTCATGAAAAACTATGCATGGACTTCAAATTTTTTTGCACCAAAATAAACTCAAGCTAACTTGTTATAACATGTCTGAACAAGATCTATTCTGAGGCACTACAAAGGATAAAACATCAGTTTGAAAAGAGCCCCTAACACAAAATAACATGAATTCTGCTAAAATAGAAGCAAGAACAAACATCAAAGTTATGGTGAAGCTTGGGTGGAAGCATAGTGAAGTCATTGATGTTTTACAAAAAGTTTATGAGAACAATGCCCCAAAGAGATCAGCAGTTTATAAATGGAAAACTTATCTTAGGAAGAGATGAGATGATATTGAAGATGAAGACCACAGCAGTAGACCCTTCACATCAATTTGTGAGGAAATAATTTTGTTTGTGCCCTAATTGAAGAGGACCAATTATTAACAGCAGAAATAATAGCCAACACCATAGACATCTCAATTAGCTCAGCTTACACAATTCTGACTGAAAAATTAAAGTTGAGCAAATGTTCCTCTTGATGGATGCCAAAACTGTTGTGCCCAGACCAGCTGCAGACAAGAGCAGAGCTTTCAATGGAAATTTTAAACAAGTGGGATCAAGATCCTGAAGCATTTCTTCAAAGAACTGGAACATGGCTTTACCAGTACAATCCTGAAGACAAAGCATGACCAAAGCAATGGTTACCAATATGGTTACCAAAAGGTGGGAGTGGTCGAATCAAAGCAAAAGTAGACTGGTCAAGAGCAAAGGTCATGGCAACATGTTTTGGGGTGCTCAAGACATTTTTCTTGTTGACTTTCTAAAGGGCAAAAAAATAATAATAATGTCTGCTTATTATGAGAGTGTTTTGAGAAAGTTAGCCAAAGCAATAGCAGAAAAAAACACCTAGGCAATCTTCCTCAGAGAGTCCTTCTCCACCATGACAATGCGTCTGCTCATTGCGCTCATCAAACAAGGGCAACTTTGTAAGCATTTCAATGGGAAGTCACTAGGCATCCATTTTACAGTTGTGATTTGGCTACTTTTGAATTTTATTTCCTAATCATATAAAATCTTTAAGGAGCCCCATTTTTCTTCAGTTAATAATACACAAAATACTACATTGACATGGTTATTAAATTTCCAGGATCCCCAATTCTTTTTTTTTTTTTTTTTGAGTCAGAGTTTTGTTCTTGTTACCCAGGCTAGAGTATAGTAGTATGATCTTGGCTCACTGCAACCTCCGCCTCCCAGGTTCAAGTGATTCTTCTGCCTCAGCCTCCTGAGTAGCTGGGATTACAGGTGCCTGCCACCATACCCAGCTAATTTTTTTCTGTGTATTTTTAGTAGAGACAGGGTTTCAGCATGTTGGCCAAGCTGGTCTCGAACTCCTGAACTCAGGTATATGCCCACCTCAGCCTCCCAAATTGCTGGGATTACAGGCGTGAGCCACCGTGCCTGGCCAGGATGTTCAATTCTTAATGGACTAAATAGCTTGTGTCATTGCTTACAACAGTGCCTTGACTTTGATGGAGCTTATGCAGAGAAATAAAATTTACATATATATATTTACCTTAAATATATATAAATACATATATGTATATATGTGTATATATATGTATATGTGCATATATATGTATATGTGTATATAAATACACACATATTTATATATATAAATATATATATATATATTTATATTTAACTACTTCCATTTTTCCACAAAACTTTTGAAGTCCCCTCAGTACTGGGGCATCAGATACCCAGTAGTGGAATTTCTGGATCATATGGTAATTCTATTTTTAATTTTTTGAAGAAACTCTATTTTGTTTTCCATAATAGATGTACTAGTTTACATTGCTACCAACAGTGTGCAAGAGACCTCTTTTTCTCCACATCCTCTACAACATATCTTTCATCTTTTTTGTAATAGTCATCCTAACAGGCCTGAGGTGATATCTCATTATGGTTTTAATTTGCATTTCTCTAATGATTTGTGATTTTGAGTATTATTCCATATAGCTGTTAGCCATTTGCATGTGTTTTGTTGAGAAATATCTATTCATATCCTTTGCTCATTTTTAATTGGGTTATTTGTTGTCTTACTCAAGTTGTTTAAGCTTCTTATATATTTTGGATATTGACCCAGTATCAGATGTATGGTTTGCAGATATTCTGTCCCATTTTATGGTTGTCTCTTCACTCTGTAGATTGTTTCCTCGGCTGTGCAGAAACTTTTTAGTTTAATGTGAGAATCTGCATCTTTAACAAGATTCCTAGGCGATCCTTCTGCAAAGCAACATTTAAGAACCACTAATCTAGACCAGCTCTGTCTTACAGAACTTTTCGTAGTGATGAAAATGTTCTATTTCTGCACTCTCTAGTATGGTAGCCACTAGGCACATGTGGCTATTAAGCACTTGAAATGTGATTAGTGTGACTGAGGAACTGAATTTTACATGTTAGAAGTTTAATTTAATTGGCCAGGTGTGGTGGCTCACACCTGTAATCCACACACTTTGGGAGGCCAAGGTGGGTGGATCACTTAAGGTCAGGAGTTCAAGACCAGCCTGGCCAACATAGAGAAACCCCGTCTCTACTAAAAATACAAAAATTACCTGGGCATGATGGTGCAGGCCTGTAATCCCAGCTATTTGGGAGGCTGAGGCAGGAGAATCACTTTAACCCAGGAGGCAGAGGTTGCAGTGAGCCAAGATCACGCCACTGTACTCCAGCCTGGGCGACAGAATGAGACTTCCAAAAAAAAAAAAAAGAAAGGAAGGAAAGAAGGAAGCAAGGAAGGAAGGAAGGAAAGAAGGAAGGAGTTTAATTTAATTCAAATTTAAGTCGCTGTATGTGGCTAATGCCTACTGTACTGGGCAGTATAGCCCTGGAGCATTACCTGGGTCCCTGTGACTGAAAATGATCTGTCCAGAGAATGTTCAGCCAGGCCTGCTGATGTTAATTAAATATTTTTACACACACATAAAATTATATTAGATTATTCTTTGAGAGTGATTCCCCAGGGTGTTTGATCTTGGAGCTAAAGTGAACATCGTCAGATTCATAGAAAGAAGCATTTTCAAGATACTTGTCTGTTCCTGTGAATGTGGGTTCACTTTGTCCACAATAAAATTTAGAGGCTTTGTTAGTTATTACCTCACATGGAAATCATAAAATAAATGATAACTTCAAGCAGTCATACTGTCTTTGTATGAATTTGAAGTGATTGTTAAGCAGCTAACTCTCCTTTCTGTTTCAGATGGTAGGGAAATTTAGGCTAGAATTCCGGTGCAAATGTGGCTCTAATGCAGAAAAGATGTGGAGATTCTCATTCTAACCACTCCTTAAGCTATGGGTGGATATCAGCATGTGTAAATTATTTCTGTGTTTATAGCACAATAGGATAATATGACAACTTTAACCTGGTTGATAAAGAGAGCCTAACATGTATGAAAGGCATCTGTATATTTCCAAGTATAAAACTGGGAAACTGGGATATGAAGTGGTAAGTGTGAAAATAACAGTCCATGTGACAAAGATTAAAATACATACCTTCAAGTCATTCTCATAGTTAAAAAAATAACCTTTGGGTAAGCAAAGGGTTATTATCCATGGTTTTAGTTCTATCCCAGTGGCTTTCAAGGTTAAAAAAAAAAAAAGAGGCCGGGTGCGGTGGCTCACGCCTGTAATCCCAGCACTTTGGGAGGCCGAGGCGGGCGGATCACGAGGTCAGGAGATCGAGACCATCCTGGCTAACATGGTGAAACCCCGTCTCTACTAAAAATACAAAAAATTAGCCAGGCGCAGTGGAGGGTGCCTGTAGTCCCAGCTACTTGGGAGGCTGAGGCAGGAGAATGGCGTGAACCCGGGAGGCGGAGTTTGCAGTGAGCCGAGATTGTGCCACTGCACTCCAGCCTGGGCGACAGAGGGAGACTCCATCTCAAAAAAAAAAAAAAAAAAAAAAAAAAAGAAGGAGGCATGAAAATTCTTCCCAGAGTGATAGAGAGGTCTATTATAGAGAATTTCTTTTCCTGATGAAGAGGAAAAGAAAATAAGCAAATATACTAAAAAGTTTTTCAAATAATGTTTCATATTGAACTTACCAGAAATAGTATTGTGTTGAAAAAAAATCAAAGAAGAACTAAATAAATGTAGACATATTTCATGTTCATCGACAGGAAACTTCAATATTGTCAAGACATTAGTTCTTCCAAACTTGCTATAGATTCAATGCAATTTCAATCAAAATCCCAGCAAGTTATTTTCCAGATATTGGTAATTTGATTCTAAAGTTTATCTGGAGAGGGGGAAAAAAACATGATTTCCAAAATACAGAGGAAGAAGAAATGTGGAAGATTGACATTACCTGGCTTCAATACTAACTATAATGCTATGATAATCAAGACAGTGTAGTGGAATAGTATCGTGAAAGTTTCCGAACTCTTCCATTTCTAGCATTCTTAAATCCACTGTTCTTTCCTCCCTCTGAGATTTCTAAATCAGACCTTGGAAAAACAATTTGTGGAGACAGAAAAGAGGTGAGAAACTCAACTTAAACCAGATGGATGCAGAAGGCTGTTTTTCAACCTTTAAGGAAGCGTGTGTAGAAATGCAAATCAATGCACTGCTTCCTTTATTGAGAAATCCTTACTATGAAAAAGAAATGTCTGATAAACTAAGTAGTGTGCTTAGGGATGTGATTTGTTTATAAGTTCTTTACCTTTTAAACAACAGCCTTCACTTCTCCAATCACACTCTGAGTAGCACCCTATAGATACTATAATGCTATGAATAAGAACATGCCCTCTGGCATGGGATTACATGGGATTACATGGGATTACATGGGATTACATGCACTTTACCCAGGGTTTGCCACAAACTAGCTGTGTGACTTTGGGCAGGTCATTTAAGCTCTCTGAACCCATTGCATAATTTACATAAAGGAGGTTATAGTATTTTGTACCTTTTAGCGATATTGTGAGGATAAATGAAATTATATTTAACACACACACACACACAACTAGTGCATAGAAAGGCATAAAAATGCTAAATAAATGTTAACAATTTTTATTATAACATAATCTACTGAGGGTTACATTGTTAGATTCACAAGTAACTAGATTCACAACTCTCTGTCTTTGAAGCCTGTGCTCTTCACCATTGAGCACACTGCCTCTTGAAAAGCACCTGCTGCTTCTCTAAGACACTAGGGCTAAGTTTTGGTCACCCAGAGAAGATTTGAATCTGGGCACTACAGGCTGTATCTAGCCAGCCATTGCAGAGTGCAAGAATATCTGCATTCTTCTGAACGTCCTTTGCAAAAAGAACTAAGATCACGAGCCCTTAAACAGGTCTCCACAGTCTGGAGGATGAAACTCTGGGACTCTGTATACCAGCATCTGCTCCAGGAAGGCCCACAACACAAATTTTTTTATGTTTTTATTTTTATTTTTTTGAGACAGGGTCTCACTCTGTCACCCAGGCTGGAGTGCAGTGATGCTCACTGCAGCCTCAAATTCCTGGGCTAAAGGGATCCTCCTCCCTCAGCCCCCTGAGGAGCTAGGACTACAGGTGTGTGCCACCACACCAACTTATCTTTTAATTTTAGTTTTGTAGATGCAGGGTTTCACTGTTTCCCAGGCTGCTCTCAAACTCCTGGGCTCAAGTGATCCTTCCCACTTCAGCCTCCCAAGGCACTGAGATTACAGCAATAAGCCACTGTGCCTGACCACAAAATTTCAAAATAGTCAAACATTAACAATGAGTTCTTTCATATAGTCTCTCCAGATAGAATCATATGCATTTTCTTAAAAGAAAAAAATAGGACTCTGTCTATAGCTTTTAAAGTGCAGAAAATGGTATGGTTGCTAAAAGAAAAGGTAGCAAGCTCCAATTTTGTTAAAGACCGAAGACCATCTTTGGGGCATCATAAGATAGAACAAGGGCAGATCAACCCTCTGCCTTTATTCTTGTCAGGCACCTTTTGGGTGGCATGCGTTGGGGAGGAGGAACACTGATTCCTTCAATCACAGTTGGGCAGGGTAGCTTTGCAGTGCATCTTGGAAGGATTTCCCCCATTGATTTGTCAATGAGCAGATGAAGCTGGCTGTCCTCGACTTGCCTACATTTGGTCTAACAATTACTTGTAAAAGTTAACTTCCTATTCCAAGTGAAAAAGCCAAGTAAGAAAAGAAGACATAAAGCTCCATCCTGGCCAAATCCCCACTGATGTCACAAGACTTGGCTAAAACGTGACCATGGCTTGGGGCACGGGGTATGATTATGGTGAGCCAGCTGGAAAAGCAGACTCTCTTTATTTCATTGCATACTGGCAGAGCAAAAGAAGAGGGGCTGATAAAATATTTTCCTCATAGAAAATTTCTTTGTGTGCTCCTGTTATTTAAATTTCCATATACTGAGTTCTGGAGGTGACATTGCTAATGTATGTTCTCTTTTGAAAAAGAATGCCACATCTAAATTTTATACTTCCATAATATTTCACTTACTTCAACTTTTCCCAAATCTTTGTTTCATGCCACAGGCCTTAATCTTATTTCAACCAAAATAGAAGCAAATAACTTGAAAAACAAACTCTTAATATTTTTGCATCTCTATGTCATTTTCCAAAAGGTCAGTATTTCACATGTGTCAGTCTTTCACTGCAGACACCAGTAATGTATCTACTACATTCTACATTCCATTTTCTAGAATTAGCTGCAATTTACATGAGGTCTGTCTTGTTGAAATGCAGGCTGGCTGTGTTCCTTCCTTTGATTCAAATAACAGCAATTTGCTTCCTTTAATAAGAATGTATTCTCTCTTCAATATTTTCCTTCACTCTTCTGGAGAAATACTGGTTAAATGAACGTTTAAAAGTGAGTGGAGGCTTCTCTGCCCAGACTGAAGTGTTAGCAAACAGGCTCTGCTTTCTCTGTCGAGTCCTCCCCTGTGGTTTCAAGTCCTACGTTCTCCAAAGGAAGCGGTGGAGCTAACAGAGAGCCATTGCAGCAAGACCATGATAATGACGTGAGAACATGAGAGAGGGACAAGCATACCAAGGTGTTCAGACGGAGCCTTGGTGATGATTTTTTAATGGACATTCTGCCAAGTTCCAGCAAACAACTGTGGGCTTTCTTTGGTTGTCACCTCAACTACATAATCACAGTTCTATGTAATCAGGTATCCTGTAATCACCTGTCTTGTTGTGCCAAAAATAAAAGGGTTTGCATTACCTTTGATTCACTGGGAAACTAAAAGCAGCAGATCCCAGGGACAGAATCTGTAAAATATACCTTCCTCATATGAAATTAAAATTGTTGGGAAGATATGTTTTCAAACAGCTCAACAAAAAAATCTGAGGCATCAAGAAGGATTAAATAAATGTTGAGGTAAGAGAGATCTGAAACTCCTGGCGGGGCTGTCTTAACCCTCAGGCCTCAATTTCCCTATCAATAAAAGTAAGAAGAATGATGATATTGCTTCCCAATAGTCCTTTTCAAAGGCATTTTTTATTATGCATGTTTCCTGAGGAATACTTTTTGAAAATATTTTTCAACAAAAGAATTGCTTATAAAATAATAATTCACAGGTTTTCTCATTTTTTTTTATTCAAAGACTTATATAACTGCTAATCAGAGCTTCCAATCAGCAAAAGATGGACAAGGTTGGCACACAAAGCTGACAAAATACTTACCAAAGGCAAATAAGCTTAATATGGTTAGCTTGCATGATCTTATCATAGGAAAATATATGGTTTCTACTAAATTCTTAGAAAAACTGAAAGTAGCTTATGGACTCCTTTTGCTATCTGGCAGACCCTGAAGTTAGAAGACTTTGGGATAGTAATTATCATGTTTCTCCTTCACTGGTGATTTCTGCAGTTCTATTATTCTTCTATTCTTACCGAATTGGATAAGAGAAATAGAGACTTAAAGAAAACTTCACAATAGAAAATGAATCTAAAGAAATATATTAAACCATGCCCTTCTTCTAATGGCCAGAATAATAATCTTTATTATCAATTGGCAACCAATCATTTGTTTTTGTAGATATTTTAATGTTATAAAATAGCAATTTTCCTCAGAGTTTTAATAAGCATTGTTGTACCCACTTCCTTTATCTACCAAACGACAGCTTCAAAAGAAACTTTAGCTTCCGGAGTTTCACCGTTGACTGGTCCTTGACATCATAACCAGTCATCAAAAACGATATGTCAAGAGGATATTCATGAGACAAACAGCTGAGTTCCCTTCAACCTGAGCTTTAAGATATAACTCTTACCTGCTGGGGGCTTATCAGTCGAGACGAGTAGGATGTACTTCGTTGATCAAAAACCTCCCACACTGTTGACCCACCCTTTCTCATCTTCAGTCACTCCAATAATTAAAGATGAAATCCAAACTTGCTTTGTCAATCAAGGCTCTAAAGTCTAGCTTCAATCTATGTCTTTAATCATATCCCCTTCTCAGTTCAGTTCAACTGAACAAATATTCACAAGTCCCTTCTGTGTGCCAGATACTTGAATGAGTAAGATACGAAGATAAATAAAACACTAATACTATCCCTGCCCAAAAGAAGCTCATGGCCTCTTGTGTAAGGAGGAAGGCATTGACATGGATTTAACAGAAAACACACTAGTCCTGCCTTCTTGGGTTGTTGTGAGGATTAAATGAAATAACAGATAGAAAGGGCTCAACGTGGCATTAGGCACAGAGTGACATCTGGCTAAAATGGTGTAATGGGATGTGACAGGTCTCTCATGTGTACCTTCCATTTCCCTGCTACTCCCCCACTCACACATCCTCACACACACCCTCTCCACCATGAGACCAGCAGCCCATTGCCCCATCTTCCAAACAGATCCAACCACACAGTACATTGACAAGTCATTTTGATCCTACTGAAAATTTCAGGAAGGTTTGAGGAAGAGGATTTAGAGACAAATGTAATAAAATTCTCCATTAGACATTTCTGTATTTCCTTGGAACTTTTCCCCTCCAAGTTCTGCCACTCATCTCTCTACTCTCCCCAGACAAATCCATTCCACTGGGCTGAGCTCCAGCCTTTCTCACTCAGGGAGAAAAAGCAGCCTAAGAGTTTAGGGCCTGTGTCCTCTTAGAAATCACTTGAATTTCTATGTATTATCCAAGCATGCCCCATTGCTGTTGTTCTAGAAGTGTGTGGAGTGTTTGGTAGAGGGGCTCTCTCCCTATGATGGTTAATACTAAGTGTCAACTGATTGGATTGGAGGATGCAAAGTATTGTTTCTGGGTGTGTCTGTGAGGGTGTTGCCAGAAAAGATTAACGTCTGAGTCAGTGGACTGGAAGAGGCAGACCCACACTCAGTCTGTGTGGGCACCATCCAGTTGGCTGCCAGCAAGGCTAGAAAAAGCAAGCAGAAGAAGGTGGAATGAGCTGACTTACTGAATCTTCTGGCCTTCATCTTTCTCCTACTCTTTTCATCCAGGAAGTATGCTTCCTGCCCCTGAACATCAGAATCCGGTTCTTTGGCCTTTGAACTCTTGGATTTACACCAGCGGTTCGCCAGGGGCTCTTGGGCCTTTGCCCACAGACTGAAGGCTGCACTGTCGGCTTCCCTACTTTTTAGGTTTTGGGACTTGGACTGAGCCACTACTGCCTTCCTTGTTCCTCAGGTTGCAAATGGCCTATTGTGGAACTTCACTTTGTGATCATATAAGTCAATTCTCCTTAATAAACTCCCTTTCATATATACATATATCCTATTAGTTATGTCCCTCTAGAGAACCCTTATGAATACACTCCCTTACAAATTTTTCACACAACAAAAATCAGATCTGTGCTAGGCAACAGAGGCCAATATTGCCCTTCTAAGAAAATAAAATTTTTTTCCACACTTTTGGGATCAATAACAATAAGCACCTAATTTACTTGAACCTGAAAAATCTCACCAGACAATCTCTGTTATTAAATGTCACAGGGGCAGAGAAAGAGAGGGCCAATGGAAATTTTATTTTCCTGGATTTCAACACCTCAACTTTGCCTTTAATACTGCTTCCAAGATCAAGAGCCCAGTTTTTCCAGCTTGCCCAGAACTTCACTTTCTGTGCTATCCTTGTCCCTCAGATACTCCCTGGATACATCCCCAATCTCCATGGACGTCACTCCACTCCCCATGGTTTGCTGGTACAAACAAGTAGAACCATGTTGCTTAGAGCAGAAAAGGGCATAGTCTTCTTAAAGACATTCTTTTATTTCTCTTGTTCTATATGATCTCCCCTTCCATTGCATGGAATCATAAAGTTACACCAGTAATACATGTAACTCTTGGCAACACCTTCCTCTGCAAGTACCCCCATCTCCATGGGTCCAACCATAAAGCTCTTGGTTCCCTTCACAACTTCCTCAGTAGGGAAAGGATTAATCCATCATGAACACCACGCTGAATATTGTGGTTTTGTTTCATGGAATTACTCAATATAGCTGTATTTCTTCTTTTAGTATTGAATCATTGAAATATTATGCAATAGCACAATAACTAGTAAGGTGTCATTTTACACTTGACTAGATTTTGTGATTGCTATATTCATAATAGGAAAGGTCACTTTGCTGTGACTTCACATGCTTCTCACTCCCGGATGAACCTCCCTCCATTTGGACTCCAACTCCCTCGACAGGAAGACCTAAAGAGAGTTAATATATTCTGCCATAGAAACACACATTCTCATTTGGAAGCCTCAGAAGGACAGAATGTGGTCACCACTGTCCCTGGGAGTCTTTGCAAACACAATTATCCTAAAGAGACAGCTTGCTTTTTTCTAAACCACATGGATTCATGTTCCAGCACCTAGAACCTCGCAGGAGCTGTGCCATCTCATCTCCTGGAAAGTTCTGCTAAAACCCAAACAGTGAAGAGCAGTTTCCCACATGTCTGGCAGCTCAAAGATCCATGTCTGCTCCACACAGCTGTTTACTTGGCACCCAGGCAGAGTTGGTTCCTCTTTTTCTCATTCTATCAAGATGTTCCTTGTTTCTGCTAATGACTATTAATAATAATATTTACACAAACAAGCTCTTCATTGTGCCAAAAGATCTCAAAATGCTTCAGAACTAGTCTGCCACAAATTCAGGGCCAGATTCGTGGAGTGGAGCATCCAGAGTGGTCTCTGAGACCAGCTAACTGATTGTTGAGAGAGCACAGCAGAAGGAACACTTCCTGTCCATAGGACAGTGCGCATGGACCAGCTGCCGTCTGGAAAGGAGCACTGACTGGGACACTCTAGGGGATGGGCACTAACTAAACTGTGCACAAACTAACATGGTATGCTCACATATAACTCTGCCATAATAAAGACGCTCATGTTTCCATTTGTTGCCTTTGGGTTGCCAATTTTCTTCTCTACCTTTTTTGGAAAATTACATTCTGATTTTCTTTTGCGGAATGGGCTCCACCTCATTGAATACAGTTGGATGGAACAGTTACCCAAGGTGCCTTGTGCTCTCTAGACAAGGAGCAGGCAGGTGACCCAATATAGGTCAGAAGCCCAACCCTTTCCTAGAAGTAGAATCGGATGAGAGTGATGGAGACAAGAAAGCTTGTTGAAGCTGATGAATTCCAGCAGCAAAGCCTGACAGTACTCATATAGTTCTACTACCGAGACTCTTCAGAGTCACTTGTTTTCTCTTCTTTCTTCGTCTGGTTCTTTAGTCATCGATATTGCTTTGTTCCATGTTGCTTTATTTTTTTTTATTTGTTTAATATTGTGACCTTCCCACAGCTTTCCTATAATTTGTTTGTGCTTAGCTTAACCAGAGTACACTTCAGTTACTTGCATCAGGGTGCTCTAACTGATGTACGGGATTTAAGTGTTTTGTGAAACACTTGGGAGATCTTTTACTCTTACTTATGCTGGACTATATTGATAGACTACAGCAGGCAGTTAAACGTTAGGATGAATGTGCAGCTGGTAGAAGAGAAAGTGGAGCAGTGTCAGAAGGATAGGGTCACCTGTGCTAGATGCCTAAGAGTTGGGGATGTTGACTGATATCACCAAACCTACAAATGTTCTACAACTGTGGAGAAATTTACTGGGGTTTCCTTGTCCTGTAGGCACGTGCTAAATCACAAGAAAAATTAGAGATCAAAAATGAATGTTTAGTTTCTTTGGAATACAGGTGAACTCTAACCCAGCATGTGAACAACTCTGGCTTAAGACTGTGGAGACAAAGGGCTGAGGCAATCATGTAAGGCACTGATGTCCATGGATGTAAGATGTTTTCCCATGTGGCCTGTTCATGCCCCCACACCACAGACTGTCCCTGCAGCAATGGCCTAGGACTGTACTCATCAGCCACTGTGGACGAGGAAATTCCAAACAGCGGACCCTCATGCTCATTAAAGTGCTAAGAAGAAAGCTGACGGATTACAGGTGTGCAGACAGTAAACGCTCCGTAAACCAAAAATGCTAGTGCTACAAACAACTAACATTACTCTATACAAGGAATTTTGTCTCTTCATCAGATGAAAAGGATGAAGGTGGAATTGGAGGTTAGTTTCACTGAAAATAGATAACTTAATTGCCGCCATGACTCTTGCATAGATTGACTAGAAGAAATAAGTTTCCAAGTCCAAAATTTTTACTTCATTCTAAGTATGGTCCAAATGCGTCATATGCTGGCCATAACTCAACACATTTTAATTAATGGATAAGACCAATCAACAGCTGATATAGGTAGGATATTAAACTGCTGGGAAAGTCTTAGCAAAATGCCACAGGCTGTGTGGCTAAAACAACAGAAATATTTTCTCACAGTTTGGAAGCCCAAGATCAAGGTGTCAGCAAATTTGGTTTCTCCCGAGGCCTCTCTCCTTGGCTTAATGGATAGCCACCTTCTCATTCTGACCTCACACAGACTTTCCTCTGTGTGTATGCATCTCTGGTATCTCTCTGTATGATCTAATCTCCTCTTTTTAAAACAATGTTAATGTTTTTTAATTTTCAGTGTTAATATTTATTATTATGTGTTGAACCGATATATTATTACATTATTTCTCTATTTCTCTACCTATTATTTTTGACTTGCTTATCATAACATCATAAATTTTTAAAATTAATTTTTGGCATACAAAAAGCTGTAAATAATTAATATACAACTTGATAAATTTGGAGCTAAGTATACGTTTATCTTATGAACCCAACACCACAATGTATCCATAAACCTATCCATCATCTCCAAAAGTTTCCTCCTACCTCTTATTTATTTATTTATTTATTTTTGAGAATGATCTAGTTCTGTAATCCCAGCACTTTGGGAGGCTGAGGCGGGCCGATCACGTGAGGTCAGGAGTTGAAGATCAGCCTGGCCTATAGGGAGAAACCCCGTCTCTACTAAAAATACAAAAATTAGCCAGGCGTGGTGGTGGGCGTCTGTAATCCCAGCTACTTGGGAGGCCGAGGCAGGAAAATCACTTGAACCTGGGAGGCAGAGATTGCAGTGAGCTGAGATTGTACCACTACCTCTTATTTATTATTATCATTATTTTATGTGTGATAAGAACACTTAACATAAGATCTACCCCCTTAGCAAATTTTTAAGTATACAATACAGTATGATTAACTATAGGTATATTGCTGTACAATAGATCTTTAGAACATATTTGTCTTGTGTAATTGAAGTTCTGTACCCCTAGACTGTATCTCCCCCAACTCCAGCCCCTGGAAGCTATCATTCCATTCCCTGCTTCTATGAATTTGACTATTTTGGATTCATCATATTAGTGGTATCATATAATATTTGTCCTCCTGTGTCTGGCTTGCTTCACTGAGCATAACATCCTTCAGATTAATCTATGTTGTCTCAAGTGGCAGGATTTCCCTCTGTTTTAAGGCTAAAAAATATTCCATTGTGAATGTACCACATTTTCTTTATCCGTTCATCTCTTGATGAACATTTAGGTTGCTCCCGTGTCTTAGCTATTGTGATTCATGCTGCAATGCACATGGGAGGACAGATATCTCTTCAAGATCCTAATTTCAATTCTTTTAGATATATATCCAGAAGTGGGATCAACAGATCATACGGTAGTTCTATTTTTAGTTTTTGAGGAAGACTCACAGTAGCTGCACCAATTTACCTTCTCACTACAGTGTACACAGATTCCCTTTTCTCCAGACCCTCATCAACAACAAATAAGGAGATCAAATCAGTAATTTAAAAAAAAAAAAACCTTCCAACAAAGCAAAGCCCAGGACCAGATGGTTTTACAGGTGAATTCTACCAAACATTTAAGGAAGAATTAATACGAATCATCCCAAAACTCTTCCAAAAATAGAAGAAGGAACACTTCCAAACTTTTTCTATGAGGCCAGCATCACCCTGATACCAAAGCCAAAAATACCACAGGAAAAGAAAACCACAGGCCAAGATCCCCAATAAACAGGGATAAAAAAATCCTAAAGAAAACCTTAAAACTGAATTCAACAGCATATTTAATACAAATTATATGCCATGATCCAGTGGGATTTATCCCTGGGATGCAAGGATGATTCAACATATGCAAATCAATGAATGTGGTATACGACATAATAGAATGAAGGATAAAAATTACATTATTATCTCAGTAGATGCATAAAAATCATTCGACCAAATTTAACTCCCTTTTAAAAATACTCAACAAATTAGATATAGAAGGAATCTAGCTCAACACAATAAAGGTCATATATGAAGAGCTCATAACTAACATTACCCAATAGTGAAAAAGTGAAAGCTTTTCCTTTAAGATCAGGAAAAAGATAAAGAGACCTACATTTGCCACTTCTCTTCAACATGGTTCTAGAAGTCCTAGTCAGTTAGGACTTTCAGGGCCAATTAGGCAAGAAAAATACATAAAAGGCATTCAAATTGAAAAGGAAGAAGTAATTATCTCTGTTTGCAGACCACATGATCTTATATCTAGAAAACCCTAACAACTCTACAAAAAAGTTGTTAGAAGCCATACATAAATTCAGAAAATTTGCAGGATACAAAGTCAATATACAAAACTCAGTTGCATTTCTATACACTAACAATGAATTATCTGAAAAGAAAATATGTTTTAAATTCCATTTACAATAGCATCCAAAAAATAAAATACTTGGGAACAAACTTAACTAAGGATGTGCAAGACTTGCATACTGAAAAATATAAAACATTGATGAAATTAAGTAAAGTAGACACAAATATGTACATGGGAATACATCCATGTTCATGGATTGGAAGAATTCAAATTGTTGAAATGTACTTACCCAAAGCAGTCTACAGATGTAATGCAATTTCTATCAAAATCCCAATGGCATTTTGTACAGAAATAAAATAACATTATCCTAAAATTTATATGGAACCACGAAAAACCCAAAATAGCCAGAGCAATTTCAAACAAGCACAAAGCTGAAGGCATACACTTGCTGGTTTCAAAATAGATTTTAGAGCTACAGGGATTAAAATAGTATGGTACTGACATTAAAAAGACATATAGACCAATGGAACAGAATAGAGAATCCAGAAATAAACCCATGCATATATGATCAACTGATCTTTGACAAGGGTTCTAAGAATACACAATGGGAAAGTGTGGTCTCTTCAATGGGAAAACTAGGTATTTACACACAAAAGAAAAAAACTGGACCCCTCTCTTACACTACTCACAAAATTTAACTCAAAGTGGATTAAAGACTTAAACATAAGACCTGAAACTATAAGACTCCTAGAAGACAACATAGAGAAAAAGCTTCTGGATGTGTCCTTGGCAATGACTTCTTGAATATGACACCAAAAACACAGGCAATAAAAGCAAAAACAGAGAAGTGGGAGTACATCAAACTAAAAGGCCTCTGCATAGCAATAGAAATAATCAACAAAATTAAAAAGCAGCCTTCAGAATGGGAAAAAGTATTTCCAAGCCATATATCTGGTAAAAAGTTAATACTCAAAATATATGAGGAATTCCTGACCTAATTTTCTTACATAGACACCAGATTGGATTAGGACCCACCCTATCAGCCTACTTTTAACTCAATTACCCTTTAAAGGCTTTATTTCCAAATTCAGTCACAGTTTGAGGTACAGGGCATTAAGAACTCAAACACGAATTTGGAAGCATGCAATTAAGTCCATAACAGGTAGCAAGGAAAAATTATAAAATGAATGAATGTCACAATTTTCCTATGAAAGTGAATTGAATCCTAATGTAATTCCTCCTATTTTGATTGTTACTAGCTGTATTCATTTCTTGTAGCTTCCTTAGCAAAATGCCACAAACTGGTTGGCTTAGAACAACAGAAATCTATTTCCTCACAGCTCTAGAGGCCAGAAGCCCCAAATCAAGGTATCAGCAGTCCATACTTTCCCTGACAATGATAGGAAAGGATCTGTTCCAGGCCTGCCTCCAAGATTCTAGAAGGCTTAGGCATTCCTTGATTTCTGGATGGGCATTTTCTTCCTGTGTCTCTTAGAAGGCATTCCTCCTGTGTACATGTCTGTGTCCACATTTTCCCATTTTATAATGACATTAGAATTAGGGGCTTATCCTACTCCCATATGAACTCATCTTAAATAATTATATCTGCAATGACCCTATTTCCAAATAAGGTCCCATTCTGGGCGACCGGAAGTTAAACTTCATTATGTGAATATTGAAAAGGACAAAATTCAACCCATACACCATACAAAATGTTAAAAGAATTCAATGTCATAGACTAAAATCAAGAAGCCTGAACTCTAAACAGACTTTTACCCCTTCTCCCCCACTCACTCCTACCAAAAACAACCAACAACAACAACAACAAAAAAAAAAAAAAAAAAAACAAGAAAAAGAAGAAATGAAGAAGAAATAGTCTGAACTATCATTCATGGATCAATCAGGTCCGAATCCCTTAGCCAAAATTAGTTTACTATGTTTGAAGTTTACATAATTGCATAATTCATGAATTTCCTAAGTCATCTCCTTGCTGGAAACATTAATGTGGTATCTGATTATACTAAACAGGTAAATGGTTCACATGAGAAATATGAGAAATTCTGTGGCTCTTGTGATCTATCACTGACCAACGAGTTGGTTTCTCCTGAAGTCCAGAGAATCTTTATTCATTATAGAAATCAAGTCAAATAAAAACCAATTTTTTCAGTGAACTTAGAGCTCTGCATAGGTAAATTCTTCTCTGTCTTGGGCTAAGCACACTAAAACATATTCTTTTTTTTTTTTTTTTTTTTTTTTTTTTTTTTTGAGACAGAGTCTTGCTCTGCTGCCCAGGCTGGAATGCAGTGGCTC